>NC_000021.9:5216246-5393558 GCF_000001405.40 Homo sapiens
GAATTCTCAATAAAATACAAACTAGCAAACTGAATTCAAAAGCACATTGAAAAGGTCATACACCATGACCAATTGGAATTTATCTATGGGATACAAGGATGCTTCAATGTGTAAAAATTAATAATGTGATATACCACATTAACAGAATGAAAGACAAAAATAACATTCCAATAGATGCAGAAAACACATTTGACAAAATTCAATAAGGCATCAAAATTGAAAGGAAAGATGTAGTTACCTCTGTTAACAGAAGACATGATTATTATACATTGAAAACTCTAAAGACTCCACAGAAAATGGTTAGAAATAATAGTCAGTCTTTCATATCTGCTGGGGATTTGTTTCAGGAACCCCTCAGATAACAAAATCTGTGATGATCAATTCCCTCACATAAAATCGTGTACAGCTGGCCCTATGTATCCATGGGTCAACATCTGTGGATTCAAACCACCACAGATGGAAAATATGTACAAGTTAGGTTCATGGTTGATTGAGTTCATGGTTGCAGAACCCATTGATAGGAAGGACTGACTATATAATAAATTTACTAAAGTTGTAGGATACACAATTGACATACAAAAATCACTGCTATTTCTAAACACTAACAATGAATTGTCTGAAAGGGAAATTTAAAAAACAGTATCAAATAAACTACTTTGGAACTAACTAACCAAAGAAGTGGAAGACTTAAACACTACAAATTATAAAAGATTGATGACAGAAATTTAAACCAAAGTAAATTGAAAGACAACCCATGGATTGAAAGAGTTAGTACTGTATTATTAAAGTGTCCATATTACTCAAAGCAATCTACACATTTAATGTAATCCATATCAAAATCCCAATGGTATCTCCAACAGAAATAGAAAAAAAATCCTAAAATTCATATAGAATCACAAAAATCCCTGAGTGGCTGAAGCTATTTTGAGCAAGAACAAAGCTACAGGTATCACACTTCCTGACTTCAGATTAAATTACAAAGCTGTAGAAAGAAAAACACTGTGGTATTGGCATAAAAACAGACACATAAACCAGTGAAACAAAATAGAGAACCTAGGCATAACCCACACATTTGCAGCAATTGATCACCCTGGAAGGTGACAAGGAGACACTATATGCAGAAGACATGCTCTTGACCAAATGGTGTTAGGAAAGCTGGATGTCTACATGTAAAAGAATGAAATCGGATCCCTAGCTCACGCCTTATGTAAAAATTAACTCAAAATGGATTAAACGTTTAAATGTAATCACTGAAACAAAACTCCTGGAAGAAGACAGGAGAAAACATTCTTGACATTGGTCTTGGCAATAATTTGTTTAGATATGATGCCAAAAGCACAGACAACAAAGGCAAAATAGACAAATGAAATACATCGAATTAAAATGCTTTTGCACAGCAAAGAAAACTAATGAAATGATAAGGCAACCTACGAAATGGGGAAAATGTTTGTAAACCATATCTCTTATAAGGAGTTCAAAAAATAAGAAGGATACATACACATCAATTCCAAAATTATGAATAACCTAATTTTATTTTAAGGCAAAGAACCTAAATAAATACATCTCCAGAGAAGAAATTCAAATGGCTAACAGGTACAAGAAAATGTGCTCAACATCTCTAAACTTCAGAGTAATGCAAATCAAAACCAAAATGAGATATCATGTCACACCTGTTAAAATGGCTATTATCGAAAAGATAAGTGTTGGTAAGAATGTGAAGAAAAGGAAACCATTATACACTATTGATGGGAATGCAAATTAGTAAAACACAGAAAACAGTATTGAGGTTCCTCCAAAAAAAATTGAAAATAGCACTGGCCTGGTGTGATGGCTCACACCTGTAATCCCAGGATTTGGGGAAGCCAAGGCAGGAGGCGAGGAGCTCCAGACCAGCCTGGGTAACATAGCAAGACGCCATCTCAGAAATAAAATTAGCCAGACATGGTGTTGTACACCTGTAGTCCCAGCTACTCAGGAGGCTGAGGTAGGAGGATCGTTTGAGCCCAGGAGATCAAGGCTGCAGTGAGCTATGATCTTGCCACTGGACTTTACCCTGGATAGCAGAGTGAGACCCAGTTTCAAAAATGGAAAAAAGAACTACCACATAATCCAACAATTTCACTTCTGGATATATGTCCAGTGAAATTGACATAAGAGTCTTAGAGAGGTGTCTGTCATCCTCTGTTCATTGCGGCATGACACACAATGACCAAAATGGGAAAATAACCTAAAGGTCCTTTGGCAGAGGAACAGATGAATGGGTAAAGAAAATGTGACGTGTATACATAAAATGAAACATTATACACCCTTAAAAAAGAAGGAAATCCTTCTATTTGTGAAAACATTGATGGAGATGGAAGATATTGCGCCAAGCAAAAATGCAAGACACAGAGACAAATACTTCATGATCTCACTTACATGTGGAATCTACGACTGTCAAATTCATAAAAACAGAGAATAAGACAGTGGTTGCCAGGGGCTCAGGGAGGGGAAATGGGGTGATGTTAATTAAATTGTGCAATGTTCAAGTTATTATAATTTCTGGAGATATAATGTACAAAGTGGAACAACACTGTATCATATTGTGTTCTGCTAAAGGACTAGACCATAAATTAATTACTGTCAACAGACACACAACGGTAAATATGTAGAGATAATATGCTAATTTGCTTGATTGTGGTGATCGTTTCAAAAAGTATAGAAATATCAAAACATTAAGTTACCTTAAATTTACACAATTTGTATATGTCATGTTATCATGATAAAGCTGTTAAGAAAGATTTAGTAAATCATGTCTACAACCTGGGAACTTTCTCATGACAGGGAGGGCTGGAGTAGGAAAATGGAATTTTGCAACAAGGATAGGGTGAGGGACATGGGGAAATTATTGATCAAGTATTTAAGAAATGACCTGGGTGGAAGCTACAACAAAGGGTATGAGATTTAGCTCATCAGTCCTCAAATTTTTGGTTTCAGGAACACTTCACATTTTTAAAAGTTATTGAGGACCCCAAAGAGCTTTTAATTATTTGGATTATGTCTATCTATATTTATCATAGTAGACATTAAAGCTGAGAAATTAAAAAAATATATACTTATATGTTTACATAAATCACATTTTTATTTAAAATTATCATTTTTAAGCATTAAAGTTTGGGAGAACAGTGACATTGTTTTATATTTTTAGGTGTGTCTTTAATGTCTGGTTTAATAGAAGAAAACTTGTTCTCCTTTCTACTTCTACATTTAATTTCTTTTGACATCACATGTCAGGTAGCCTCTGGGAAACTCCAATTATACTTGAGAGACAAGGAAAGTGGAAAAGGTAAACAAAACCTGTGTATTTTTATGAAAAGACTTTTGACCTTGCAGAGACCCTGGAAGGGACTCAGGGACTTCTCAGGGTTCTCTGGATCATGTGTTCACAGAGTAGAGGGTAAGTCTGCAAGAGAAAGCAGTGATTGGGTGTGGGAGGTCTTGCTGAGAGGTGGTAGAGAAGAGGTTGGATGTGGAGAAAGTATGGTCCTTGTTTTCATTTCTTTTCCCTTTCCTTTGGCCTCTTGTTGCTGGGATTTTCTCTTTAGATGATCGTATCATAAATTAGAAATAGCATTAATGAACATTCTTGATACTGCCTAATGAAAGTTTTAGTTTTGTCTTTCTGAGTCTTGATACATTTCAAGAAGTCTTCTATCTCATTTATTGTTCCCACCCAAATTTGGAATTTAGGAAGAGTCGATATAGCTATATTTAGATTATTTATCTCTCTGAAGACATTTTGGGATCATTTATAAATCTCTATAAACAATGCTCTGATGTCCCTTTATTTTGTTTAGAGACTGGGTCTTGCCGTGTTGTCTGGAGTGGAGTGGCTAGATCGTACCTCACAATACACAATACAATCAAACTCCTGAGCTCAATGTTATCCTTCCACTCAGCCTCCACAGCAGCTAAGTCTGCAGGTGTGTGCCAGCACGCCTAGCTTTGGATTACTATTATTATTTTTGTAGAAATGGGGGTTTCATTATGCTGCCCAGGCTGGTCTTCCAACTCCTGGCCTCAAGCAATCCTCCTGCCTTCCGCCGTCTGAGGAGCTGAGATTACATGTGTAAGCCACCATGCTGGTCCTGATGTCATTTAAGTACAAACATGATACTATATTCCTTGTAGAAAGTGCCACATAAATATACTCTTTTTGAAATAGGGTCTTGCTGTGTCACCCAGGCTGGAATGCAGTGGTATGATCACAGTCACTGCAGCCTTGACCTCCTGGGCTTAAGCGATCCTCCCACCTCAGCCTTACAAGTAGCTGGGACCTGAAGTATGAGCCACCAAGCCCAGCAAATTTTTCAATTTTTGGTAAAGATCGGCGTGTCACTGTGTTGCCTAGGCTGGTCTTGAACTCTTGGGCTCAAGTTACCCTCCGCCCAAGTCTCCCAAAGTGCTGGGATTACAGGCCTGAACCACCGCACCGGGTCCTAAAAATTCATTCACTTTCTTTGTTTGTCCACAGGGTGCTGCTGTTTCCTTTCTAATAACATGAGACAGCTCACTCAAGAACATCAAGAACATGACATTCTCTAAAAAAAATCACAGTAGTTCCTTTTCCATAACTATGAAGTTTTCAAGGTGTTATCAGGTTTATTTCATAGAAAGAATGTGTAAAATTTTTCATGTAGAAACATAATCTTTTAGCAATGAGTTAGTTAAAAAATTTGGCATTGTCAGAATGAAGATTTCCTTTTCCCTATAATTTTTTTTATTATAATTATATTTTTAATAATATCAATTGCTTTATAAAAACTCATTACATTATATACCCAATGTCTGTGAAATTGTCTGCTTTGAAGCACAGTGAAATAATCAATCAGCATACTGGGTCTAACACGGTTCCTTCCATTTTAAGAAAGCTATTTACACTCCAATTTGCAAGTTGGACTTTACAAAAATTAAAGCATTTATAAAATATACTAACTATGATTGTTTTAAAAAGTAATGTTTTTTTTATGGTAAGGAAATAAATTGAAGCTCTGTGTTGGAAAATGCAGAAAACAAATCAGCATTCTTTATAAATAGATTTTGCTGCTGGTTTAGAAATTACCTAATGTGCTTTATAGATGTTGGAAAATGAAATCAGCTGCAGTTAGCAGTGTGCATACATCGTATTTGCTGTGTCACTTTCAGAAAGGTTATGGAATATTGGCAGGTCAGGATTCTCAAAATGAGAAGTTCTAAGAAGAGGCTAAATGAAAAAGAATTTTGAAAGCAAACCTAGTTGTTTAATATAAACATGGACGAGTTATGGGGAAATCCTGGACTGGGAGCTAGCAGATCTATGTTCTGACTTTTACTAAGTCATTGGCTGCTACAGCAGGCCAAGCAGACATAACTGCCAAAGCTGCCTGGGAGTTGGGTTGATTGGCAATTGGCACAGGGAGAGAGGACAATTGCCAGAGTAATGGACAAATATTCAGGGTTTCATGTTCAGTGAAGCAGAACGTGCATTTGTATCCCAAGGGCAAAACTGACGCTAGAATCTGGGCCTCCTGGCTGAATCTGAGTCCACAGTTTGATGAGTAGGATGAAGTAGTCTCAGAAATCCAAGCCAGCCAGAACCCATGAGGTGTGCTTTGCAGATATTGGCTGGCGAGCTGCATTAAGATGTTTCATTCCATTGAGCAAACATTCCTTGATTGGTTAGGTTAGCATCCCACAAGAGCAGAGACAAATTCTTCAGAATTTGTCCATGAGGCTATAGTCCCAGAGCTTATATTTCAAGGGAGGAAACTGCATCTCAGGATGGTAGGTGATTACAGCTAAACCGAATTCTGAAAATAAAAGGAACCCTATGTCTTTTTCTGCTCAGGCTGCTTCTACAAACAACTGTAGACTGAGTGGCTTAAACAGCATATACTTGTTTCTCACAGTTGTGGGAATTCAAAGATTAAAATCTGGGCCAGCAGAGCCAGTGTCTGGTGAAGGCCCTCTTACTGGTTTGCAGGTGTTCTTGTTGTATCTTCACATGGCTGAGAGAAGAGGGCTCTAGTCTCCTACTCTTCTTATTAGGATGCTAACCCCACTGTGGGAACTCCATCCTCATCAACACCAAATTACTTCCCAAAGGTCCTCCTTCTAATGCCATTCTATTGTTAGAGTTTCAACTTGTGCATTTGTTGAAGGAAACATGCAGTGCACAACATCTAATCTAATCAAATCAGTTGTCCCTTGAATAAAATTCTAGCTCCTATAACAAGACTTAAAATTATGACTTGGTTGTTGCCAAAACTGTCTATCTGGATTTGCTAGAAATCAAACATACTTGAATATTTCCTCTAAAGATTTTCTCATTCCTACCCTATTGTATATATTTACAGAATTCTTAAATAATTACATATACAAGGCTTCTATTAGCTCTGACGAGAGCTTCTATTAACTTTGACTATTGCAAGCAGTTTTATCGCACTGTAGGTAAAACATGTGCTTTGAAATCATATGATAAATTTATTAAATGCTAAGGACTTTATATTCACTGTTTAATTTTATCATCTTAATAACCTTCATTATTACCTCCATTAAACACTATTTGTTGGCTACTTACATTATTCTGATTTTGCAAATCTAAATTTGAGAGGCTTTCCCAATGTCACATAAGTTAATAAGTGGCATAGCTGGGGTTTGAATTAAAGTCTACCGGATTCCAAGATCTGTTTACCGTTGTTCTACAATATGTACTTTTTAGGTCCCTGAGAATGCTAACAACATTTCTTTTGAAATCTGGATAGCAGCTTTATTAATATGTGATTAGGGCACCATATTTCAGGCAACAAATTCTTTGAAATCTTTCATTTCCATAGTGAGATAAGGATCAGTTCTGTGGCATTGTCAGCCAGAAAACATCATTTAGAGACTATCTTGTACAATAAGTAGAAGACACAGCTGGCGGCCTGCGGAGGACAGAAAGCTCACAGCTTCTGTCCATACCCCTTTCACTTCCTCCTCAAGGAGATGGACCTCTGTGGTTGGTCAAGCTTAAGGATCTTTTATGTGCCACAGCTAATGGTGAAATCTTCCTAATTCTAGGTGAAGATTAATGGGCAAGTTGGAGAGTTAAGGTAGCTTGTGGCTGCTCCTTTTAGAAGAAAGTCTGATCATTGCTCTCTTATTTGTGGAACCCCTCTGTTCCCCCAAATGCTTGGTAAGACATGCCTGAAGACCAATCCTGTGTCAGTAGACTTCATATCTACTCTCTTCTACCAATCACACAACTACAGACAAATAAGAAAAATAAAACAAAGCTCAGACACACTGCCCTGGCACGGAGGCCACTCTCCAGCTGGCTGCTTTTCTCTACCCTGGCGCCTCCTGGGCATTTGGCTCTTTCTTAGATCAAAGCGAGACATAAGTTTGGGATTAAAGAGAAGTAGGTGAAAGGGGTCTCTGGCCTGTTTTGGCATTAGACCAAGTAAATAACAGAGTTCTGGCTTAAGCTCAGCTCTGTAGAGCTTTCTCTGTGTTTGGGGAAAATCTCCGATAGTAATGAAGTGATATTTTACTGTGCTTCGTTTTCTGTACATATATCTCTTTCTTAGGTATGTTGTGAGGGAGGAGATTCGTTCCCTGGATAAATACCATCTTAATCACCTTCATTACCAACTTTATTTTATTTGCAGAGTTAAAATTTAAATAGACATTCAGGAAACAAGTCTGGTGAGAGAATTATGTTACGAGGTTAATCTTTCAGCATCTGCCTTAGGGACATTGATTATTTTCCCCCTTGTTTTTCACCAAGCTCCAGGCTTGCAAAAAAATTGTGATGTGGTCTGAGGCAAACTTACTGATTGGCTAGTGGTAAGTTAAACCATAACCTGTAGGACCGCTGGGAACCACTACTTGTCATCGGCCAGAAATCCATTGTTTGGAGGTGTGCGCTGGGAAGGCTATTCATACTTATTGATACATGTTTTGTTCTTGGCATTATGTTAAGTACTGGACACATGCAACAATTTGGAATATCGTTACATTCAACCCTCACAATAGTTTGATGTATATGTTATTAGTCCGGTATTAGAGACGAGTAAACAAGATTAGAGGAAGGGAAGCACACAGCTGAACCACATAGGCGGCACTGGGATTGGAAGCAGTTCCGTCTCACCCTGGACCACCATTTCCATGCTGTGTCTCCACTAGAGGATCCTTTCTTTGGTTCTTCTAAGTCATTAGTCATCAATAATTTATATCCAAACTGTAGGTTTCACAGGAGGAGATGCCACTTGAAGCTTCATGGCTTAAAATGGAAATGGAATGTGGAACATGGTGGGAAGCACCGGGAGGGGTTTATTGATAAATTTCAAGTACTTTGTGGGGCTCTGAAAGACTGTCTTCAAATTCTTTGTCCTACTACCTCTTTCATATTAGTTGAAATGTCATATGGGTATATCTTTTGGGTTAAATTAAGGAAAATCTCCATGAAAAGTAAAAAACAAACAAAAAAAACCCCAAAAGAATAGAAAAAGATACTATGAAGAATCCACTCAGATTTCTCAGAGTTTTATTAACTCAAAAAAGCCTTGGTCCAGTTGGAAGAAGACAGAATTGATTTTGACAACCTCTAGCAAACCCTTTAGCGTTCAATGCACTCTAGACCATGAGTATAAAGAAGTTCACTTAATAGGTTCACCAAATTAGTTAGTTTGTGTAGTTCAAAGGGAAACAGAAACACAGGACTGTGAGGTTTTGACAGGGGTGAAAGGAAAGCCTGGGTCCAGTGAGCCCAGGCAGGCCATGAAGGGGCAGGGCAGGAGAAGGACAGTGCTGGGAGGCTAGGGAACTGGCCACTTCTGTGCTGGCTGAAGATCACAAAATTCAACACAGCTTTCTCCAAATGCTTCCCGTGCCTGATGGAATTAAACAGAGCTCTGAGAAAGACAGCACCGGGGCCGAGGATGCATCCGGAGCTGCCTACAGTCATTAATATCTTGGCCAGTGGCTATGCACTCAGGGACAATTTGGCTAGCTTTCTTGATCCACACCAGAAAACTCGCTTTTGAATTGGTTTGGAAAGCTCCAAAAGGGACGTGCTTCATGCTATTGGTATTGCTGTCAAAAAGAAAAGATTCTGCTTTTCATCAGCTGTTGATTTTTGCTCTCTGTATTTCTCTAGCATGTGTTGCTGGTGGCCCTGGTTATGCTAACAAGTAGATAGTGTAGCTGCAACAGCAGAACAGAAAAGACTCTCCTGGATTCTCAGTTCCAGGCTGGCCTGGGAACAGGCTTAGGGATGTTTCAATGCTTGAATGTAGGTGAGCTGGAGATCTGTGGCAATTCTTTTGACATGAGGCTGGACATTCTTTATAGCTTCCCCAGACACAGGAATTGGCAGAGCTTGAAAAAGAATCACTGGCAGGAGGTTCATTTTCTTTATTGCTACCTCCCCAGCCATAAAACTAAAAGCTTTTTACCTAAATCACGTTAGCCATCTCGTGGGAGTAGGAGATCATTTCCTTCAGAGTCTTTCCCGATTGGAGTCTAGTCCTAGGATGGTTTGAACGGTCCGTTTGAATTTGAAGAGCTTTCTAATTGATGCTTCTCATCCCCTCTCCAACCAGTCTTATTTGGTGTCGTCTGCCTTTCCCCTTCCTCCCTACCAAACCTCAGAGTCTTGAAACAAAAATCTTTGTATTGTAAACTTCATTATGCTAATTTCATCACTTCAAACGAAATTTCCCTTGTTTGAGTTTCCTCCAACTGTGTGACTTAGGGCTGTTGAACTCTTTCATATACACAGGAAAACGGAAACCTCTTTTGCTGTCTAGTGATTGTATAATAAAACATTTTCAGATGCTAATCACATGCTTTGAGCTTGGTTAATGAATGAAATTCTAAGGATATTCTTATTTGAAAGGTTTAAAATATAATAACTGTCATTATATCTAATTCTGTCTACATTTCTGGTGTGAAATGAGAAGTCAGGAGCCCTACCATCTACACAGTACATGGTTCTACCAGCTATTTCTGTGTTACTTCAAGCAAATCACTTCTTTTCTGCCTTTTCTTTCTTTTTATGTAAAATGTGGATAACTATCTGTCTCACTGAATTCACAGAGTGACTGTATTATGTACAATAAAATTTATTGAAAAGCATAAAGCTCTATAATTAGGTATAATGTTACCTGTAATTTATAAGCTTTTTAAATCCTGGGGCAGTGGAGGAAGTATTCCTCTTCCTGTAAAAGGACATCCCTCTAATAATCTCCCTTCTTTTCCTGACTTTTCAGGGATTCTGTTCATTGCTTTTCCATTTGTCATCTGCATCTTCAATCTCTCTCCTTCTTGATGCATTCTGTCAGCATTTAAATATAAATTTTTCATTTAAAATATCTTCTATTTTGGAGGAACCTTAACTTTGACTCTGTGTGTCTTTCTAGCTATCAAGTCATCTCCTCCTTTCTTGGCAAATTTTTCTCAAGTATTTTCCACACTTACTATCTCCTTTTTCTCATTTTCCTTTCACTCTTTATTCAGGTCAGTTTGGCTTTCACTTTCATCAAGCCTATGAAACTGCTTGTGCTAAGGTCACCATATAAGAGTGCTAAGGGCTTCCATCACAAGCTGCCACAGACTGAGTGGTTTATCTTCTCAAGCTCTGAAGACTGGAAATCCAGGATGGAATGTCAGCAGGTTTGCCTTCTTCTGAGAACTGCTGCCTTGCAGATGCCTCCCTTCTTGCTCTGTCCTCAGGCTGTGTTGCCTGTGTCTCAATCTCTTTTTAGATGGACACCTGCCATATTGGTTTAGGGTCCACCCATATGGTTTTATTTGACCTCACTTACCTCTTTGAATGCCTTCTCTAAATCAGTCCCTCTGAAGCAGTGGGGATCAGCTCTTCAACATAGGAATCTGGGGGGACACAATTCAGCACCCCCAGAACTGGTGATTCCTAAACATCATGAACACTATTCCTCTTTCTCTCTTTCTTTCTCTCCCTTTTTTCTTTCTTTCTTTCTTTCTTTCTTTCTTTCTTTCTTTCTTTCTTTCTTCTTTCTTCTCTTTCTCTCTTTCTCTCTCTCTCTTTCTTTCCTCTTTCTTTCTCTCTTCCTTCCTTCCCTCCCTTTCCTAACCTTCCCTTGCTCTCTCTTCCTTCTTTCCTTCCCTTCCCTTTCCTTCCCTTCCCTTCCCTTCCCTTCCCTTCCCTTTCCTTTCCTTTCCTTTCCTTTCCTTTCCCTTCCCTTCCCTTCCTTTCCTTTCCTTTCCTTTCCTTTCCTTTCCTTTCCTTTCCTTTCCTTTCCTTTCCTTTCCTTTCCTCTCCTCTCTTTTCTTTTCCTTTCCTTTCCTTTCCTTTCCTTTCCTTTCCTTTCCCTTCCCTTCCTTTCCTCACTCTCCTCTCCTTCTTTCCTTTCCTTTCCTCGCCCTTCCTTCCTTCCTTCCTTCCTTCCTTCTCTCTCTTTCTCCTTTCCTTCCTTCTATTTATTTACTTTTGTTTATATAAAATTTATGGGACACATGTGCAATTTTGTTCCATGCATAGTGGTCAGTTCAAAGCTATTAGGGTATCCATCACCAAAATAACATATATTGTACATATTATGTAATATATAAGTCCAATGGGGTCTCAGGAACATTCGGTAGAGTAGACCCCTGACCTCTTCCTCCAGCTTGAACTATTTTCTTATCAGCTTCTCCCTCTTTGCCCAAACTTTAAATGTTGAAGTTCTTAAATCCTGGGTCCTCTTCTGTTCTTATTCCATACTAAGCTTGTCCAACCCATGGCCTGTGGGCAACGTGTGGCCCAGGACAGCTTTGAGTGCAGCCAAACACAAATTTGTAAACATTCTTCAAGCATTATAAGATATTTTATGATTTTTTTAAGCTCATCATCTATTGTTAATGTTAGTATATTTTATGTGTGGCTCAAGACAATTCTTCTTATTCGAATGCAGCCAGGGAAGCCAAAAGATTGGACAACCCTGCCTACACAGACTCTAGACAAGGTTTTATTAATTCCTATGGCTTTAGATACCATAGATATGCATATGGCTCCTACAGACCTCTCCTCCCAAGCTCCAAAACATTATGTGCACCTGCCATCTTGAAATCTCCACTGGGATTTTCACAGGCATTCCTAAAATCAGAATTCAAAACTCTTGAGATCTGCCCCCACATCTATGCCACTTCCTCAATCATTTCCCTTTTGTTAGTTTATTTCTTCTTCAGCCTTACCATTCTTTATAAAAATCGTCTCCATTTACCCATTTGCTTCTTCCAGAAAGCATCATCATCCTTGATGCTTTCTTCTTCCTGCAACCCCCCTACCATCACAACCTGCAACCAAGTACTGTTATTTCACTTTCAAAATATGTGCTAAAATTATCTGCTTCTGTCATCCGCATCTTTCAGCTGATCTGTAAACATATACTCGTCTTTCCAACTTTTGGCCTCTCCAATACCTTTTCTATGGCACACCCAGAGAGGTTCTTCAAAAATTTCAATTAGATCATGTCTCTCCTTCGTTTAAAAATATTTAATGATTTTCTACCCACGAAATAATTCTGCTAGACTGCAAGCTCTAAAGATGCAAGGACTAGGTTTGCCTTATTTGTTTCTGTTTATGCAGAGCCTAGCCTTGCATTTAGTAGGAAGTTAACACATTGACCTAGATCTTGTCCAACTTCTCAGCCTCACCTCTCATGGAAGCACTCATAGACCTCAGTCCAGTTACTCTTTTCTGAGATCCCTGAGCTGGCGTGGTCCAGGGCTGCCTGGGCCGTGATGCATTCACTCCTGCTTTGTTGGCTGGTATCTGCTTATATTCTTGCTACTGTAACTGATGTCCAAGGCAGTCACATAGGCATCTCTGGGAGCTTGCTAGAGCTCAGGCACCACCCTAGATCCAATGAATCAGAATCTGCATGTTGACAAGGTCCCCAGGTTGTTCATATGCACATTCAAGTTTATGGTGCTTTGCTCTAGATCCCAGCCTGAGTGTTAGTTCTTTAAAGAGACCTTTCCCAACTGGCCAAATCGTATTAGGTCATGTGACGGATTCACCCACACGGTCTGTGATACAGAAGGGAAAAGGAGTTGAGGCCTATTGATCAGAAGCTGCCCATTTTACAGTTTTACCTAAGGGTGATCCTATCAAAAGTTCTGGATTTTGTAGAGAAGGATACAAAGTAGTGAATAGTTTGATTTGAGAAAATTGAAAATTGCCAGTTTTCTTGCCAGTTTTCTTTGCTATGTTTGCTCTCCCTCTGAAAATCCCTTGTTACAAGTCCTTAGTTTTAGTTTGCCACATTATGACACGATGGGAATAATGCACAGCAGTGATCCTCAGTTGGTTTGGGTTTTCAATACACAATTGATCTATGGTTGTGGCATGCATTGTAGAATGTCCAGCTAGAACACCTATTCTTTCAATTACTTTCATTACTTTCAATGGCAAAACCACAATTACTTTTGCACTAATGTGATAGCTTTGCTACAAGTCAATTGTTCAGTTTTTTTTGTTGTTGTTGTTTGTTTTTATTTTTGCAAACACTTTAGATACTGCATAGTGGATGGATTAGTTTGTGGTTCCTGGGATCTTCTGTGTATTCTGTTGAAGCTCAATAATCACATTACTGCGGACCTCCAAAATTTTACAAAAGACTGCATAGTGAGTATTCAGCCGATAAACTAAACCACAGCTTATTACTGTGAGATGAAAGAAAGCACACCAATGAAAAGTAAACACTGTTTAAACCTATCTCAATGAATTTCTAAAGTGTCATACATTTATTATATTCTCTACTTGTAAAATATTTTGTTGTGTGTATTGTCAAGTATTTCAGGATTTTATGGGTATAAAATATTCTATTAATTTAACTGGAAAACTTGTAGTTATTCAACAAGCAAGCTAAAAGTGTTGGCAGAGATGTAATTTTAAAGCACAATTCCACTCATTCCTTCAGTATTACAACTGCTCCTTGTTTGTTTAATAATAGAACTGATGAGTAGTTAATTTGAGAGAAAAGCTGGTGCAGGTGTAGTGCTATTTAGATGTCATGGAGGACACATGTGACATCTGCAGCTAGCTATATGGTAAAAGCAAAACAGAAGTTAAAATCAGCCCTGTGTCCAATCTGCATAGTTTTAGGCTTCAGAGAGTTTCTCTGTATGTTGAGGCAGGAAGTTTAGTAGAATTCCAAGGGAATAAGAGAGGAACCAACATTTGTAGATTTTGCCTTCTATGGGGAAACTCATTCAATCATCAGGAGAACTCTTCAATAGGTTTTATTTGCTCCGGTTTACCTAGATGAAAAATTGAGACCCAGAATCCATGCTTTTCTTTCCTGGTTACACATTAGAATCACCAATGTGATATTAAACACACACACACACACACACACACACACACACACTGCACAACGATTAAGATGGCTGCTATCAAAAAAGAAAAAACAAAAAAATCAGGGGCCATGCATGCTGGTTCACACCTGTAATCCCAGCCCTTTGGGATCACCTGAGGTCAGGAGTTTGACAGCAGCCTGGCCAACATGGTGAAACCTCATCGGTACCAATAAAAAATAATAATAAAACAAAAAACAACACACACACACAATTAGTCGGGCATGGTGGCACACATGTGTAATCTCAGCTAATTGAGAGGCTGAGGCATGAGAATCACTTGAATCTGGGAGGCGGAGGTTGCAGTGAGCTGAGATCACACCACTGCACTCCAGCTTGGAGACAGAAGGAGACTCGGCCTCAAAACAAAACAAAAACACCCAGAAAATAACAAGTGCTGACAAGGATGTGGAAAAATTGTAACTCTTGTGCATTGAGGGTGGGTATGAAAAGTAGTACATCGGCTGTGGAAAACATACGGTTCCTCAAGAATTTAGACATAGAATTACCATATGATTCAGTAATCCCACTCACATCTATAAATCTCTGTATCTTTATCTACCTATATCTATCTTCAAAAGAATGGAAAGCAGTTACTCAAATAGATACTTGTGCACCTGTGTTCTCTCCCCACCCCATCCCCCCCCTTTTTTTTTTAATAAATAGGGTCTCATTCTGTTTCCCAGCCTGGAGTGCAGGGGCTGTTTATAGGCATGATCCCCCTGCTGGGGAGCTGTCCACAGGCACGACCCCCTGCTGCGGGGCTGTCCACAGGCACAATCCCCTGCTGCGGGGCCATCCACAGGCACAACCTCCCTGCTGCGGGGCTGTCCACAGGCACGAACCCCTGGTGAGGGACTGTCCACAGGCATGACCCCCTGCTGCGGGGCTGTTTACAGGCACGATCTCCCTGCTGCGGGGCTGTCCATGGGCAGGATCTCCCTGCTGCGTGGCTGTCCACAGGCATGACCCCCTGCTGGTCAAACTGGGAGTTGTGCCCTGCTTTGTCTCCAACCCAGGCCGGTTTGCCCCTCCTTAGGCAACCTGGTAGTCCCTTATCCCAGGAGGTCACTGTACTAATGTCTAATTTCGTGCAGACATCTGATCAACACAACACAACACACTGCAGCCCAGTACTCCTGGGCTCAAGCAATCTTCCTGCCTCAGATGCCTGAGTAGCAGGAACTACAGGCACATGCCACCACACCTGCCTGCTACACCTGTGTTCATTGCAGCATTACAGCCTTATTTACAGGAACCACAAGGTGGAAACAACCTAAAAAGTCTATTGAGGGATAGATGGATAAACAAAATGTGGTATAGACATAAAATGGAATATTAGTGATCTTTAAAAAGGGAGGGAATTCTGATACTTGCTACCACATAGATAAAACTTAAAAACATTATGCTAAGTGAGACGTCAAACACAGACTACGTGATTCCATCTATATGAAGAACCTGGAACAGGCAAATTAATGGAGACACAAAGTAGAATAGAGGTTTTCAGGACTGGCAGGAAGTGGAAATGGGCGGGGTTAGTGTCTAATGGGCACAGAGTTCCTGTCTGGGATGATAGAATGTTTCAGAAATGGATAGTGGTGATGATTGCACAGCATTGTGAATGTAGCTAATGACATTGAATTCTTTACCAGAAAACAAAAGCAAAAACAGAAACACATTGCTTAAGCTTCCCAGTCAGACAGGTGACGTGCTTGGTGTGAGCTGGGGCCTGAGACCAGGCTGCCCTCACCAGAGTGGCTTCAAGACCCTTCTTGGTTGTACTTAGGCCTGATTGCTCTGGAGAGCCCCATACATGAAAGCCAGCTCTGGTTCTATCTCTTCTCACTTCAGTCCTACCTACCCCCACCATCCCCCAGCTGGGCATTATAAGAAAAGCAAGATGACTATGAGTTTTCTGATTATTTATATGACCAAATAATCTCAGGGACTATTGCTAACTAACCCATGGGATTCCCACTACCTTCATGAGTTTCAGACGAGGTGAAGGGTCCCTAAAATCCTGCCACCTAGTCAGGAACTCAGTTGTCAATAATTTCTTTATTTGTGATACAAGCAGGGGTGGGGAAAGAGAAATGAACAGACTTGGAAGCTTCTCTGAGGCCCTAGAGAAGACCTCTGGGCCCCGAAAACCAGACGCCAGGAGAAAGGAGGGTGGTTGATGACTCCCCACTCTTTCTCCAGCCCCTGCTCCTCTGTTTCTCCCCTTCACCCACTGCAGCTTCCTCAGGTCCTGGGTCCCGTGCCATCATCTCTTCGAATGACCTCCTTTCTATCCCTGTTAATAAAGGAGCATCAGCTAAGTGAACGTGGTGATTTGCATTCACTTATATTGATTCAGAAATTGTGTTTAATTCCACACAAGAAAAAGAATGTGGATCTTTTTCACCGTGGGAAAAAAGTCGTTAAGTATCATCTTAATCATGTTTTCCTGGGATATAATCTATACATGATGCCTATTTAAGCCTTCATTGCATCTGTGCACGTGGTTTGCTTTCCTCTTATGTGAAATAGCGTTGGACCACACGAGTTTGGGCCACAGCTCAGGAAAACACAATCCTAAATGTCGTAATCCCAAATGTTGAAGTCCCAAAAGATCTAAATCTGTACAGTCTAAAATCCTGAAAATTACAATCCTAAAAAAACAAAATTCTGAACATACAATTCTGGAAAAAAATTATTAACACATTCTTTAAAAAGCATTTATTGGGCAGCGCATGGTGGCTCATGTCTTTAATCCCAGAACTTTTGAAGGCTGAGGCGGGTGGATCACAAATTCAAGAGATGGAGACCATCCTGGCTAACACGGTGAAACCCCATCTTTACTAAAAATACAAAAAATTAGCCAGGCATCGTGATGGGTGCCTGTAGTCCCAGCTACTTGGGAGGCTGAGGCAGGAGAATCGCTTGAACCCAGGAGGCAGAGGTTACAGTGAGCCGCGATTGCACCACTGCACTCCAGCCTGGGCGACAGAGTGAGACTCTGTCTAAAAACAACAACAAAAAGCATTTATTTATATTTTTAAGGTGGAATTTGAGAAACGTACAAAAACACAACGGAACGCTTCCTAGGCCACTTTACACAATCAATAGGCAATAATAACATACATATATTTGCAAGCATAAAACTCAGGTATGCTAACGATAGTCTCACGGGTATAATGGTAATGAGCAGATGAGTTGTATTTGTAAAGAAATGGGTCAAAAAGCAAAATGTATAAAAGCATGGTTGGTAACTGGGTGCACTCAGCTTTATAACTTAGGTCATCTGGAATATTGTGACAGACAACATAAGTCTTTTGACCAGATTCATCAAAAGCTGGGATGGGTCACCATCTAATATGTAGTCAAAGAGCTGAGATCCTGAGGAATTTTCTCTTTCCCAAATGCAAATGTGCAAAAAGGATATCTTCTCATTTATTAAGGAAACTTTAATGTTTTTATGTGCATGTGCAATGGTTACACACAAAGTCAGTGTTGTGATAATGCACTCTTGTGGAGTTAAATTTGCAAAAAAAAATGCATAAAACAAATTAGAACTCTCTAAAAGTCTTTGCAAAATTTATACCTTCAGTATTGGAAATGATACTAAGATGAAATACACAGCATAGCAACTTGTAAAAAATAATGGTGACAATTTAAAATAGTGGAAAAAATGGAAAAAGAAACAACTAAAAAGAAAATTGACACATACAAAGTATATTACATGGATAGATTATGGGCAATTGCAGAGTTCATCATAGCTGGCTGACTTTCATGATCATTAGCTATATTTTGAAGTCATGCATCACGATGAATAGTTGCCTTTTTTGTTTTTAGGATTTGACTCTCCTCATAAAATACATTCACATTCATTTTCTACGTGGCACTGCTCCTTTTGAAATTCTTCTATAATTTGATACACACTGACATGAGCATTTCCTATTACATTTTCCAATCTTCTATGCCATTCTCGTCTATTGTTTTGAGTACGTGGAAATCCATTTTGCAGGCCCTCATATACAGGCCACTCATTTGGCAGAAACAATACTCTTGATTGAACAGCAACACCGTTGCCTAAATGACTTCTTATCCTACCTTGCACATCATTATTTTCAAACCAGTATGTAATATTTCTGGCTTCTTCAGGCAATTGTGGTTTTAATTTATCAAAAGCTCCTGGAATTTTATCAGGTGGAAGGAATGCCAATACAGACAAATGACACATTTTTAAACTAAAATTTTCATCATTGCCAGATGGTCTGGCCAATCCACTCACCTGAATTTTCTGGCAAATGAGCTGGGCTGAAGGGAAGATATAAACTTTACTGGTAACAACTTGCATTTCACTTTTAGAAGCCTTGATCACACCTAATTAAAAACTTGTCATTATAATTTGGGGATGCAATTGAAATCTATTTTCTTCTGCAAAGCCCTCCAAATCTTCAAATAAGCTTTTAAAAAGTACTTCACTTTTTCCAGTTATTAAACCATAAACATGCAGATTAAATTACAGAATTTTGTAATCCAATGGGGGCATAAACTGTATAAAGTTGATTTAAAAAACCCACTGGGGACAGTTTTGAAAGTGCCGTTCATCAGCCAAAGTGAAACATGCACCAGTTTTGTTATGTTAAACTTAGTGGTAAATAAACATGTTTATCTTTTTTGACAGTCAAATCCCTAATCAAGAATAGTTCATGATTTAATATGCCTTGTAGCACTGGAGGAAGCTCTGTGCCAGGAGGTGTCTGGCTCAGAAGGCCACTGAATTTTTTGAACTATTTTTATTATCTCACAAAAGGCATTTTGTGAAGGCAAGCATGGTGCTACCTGTAGAGGTGTTTGGTACATGATTACATAATTTGGCAGACAAGATTTTGTCCATTTTTTACTTTCATTTTAACTTCTTCTGTGATATTCAGGACATTCAAAACAGTGACAGCAGATCTTCCCCACCTAGTCCGCTCAGACCCACACACTGATCTCTTCTGAGTAAACCATCACAGACATACCCAAAATAATGCTTTCCCAGCTTTCCAGGGATTCCTTAATCCAGTCAAGTTGACACCTGAAATTAAGTCTGCAAGTCCACCCCTTGTAGATTTGGCACCCATATGGACCTCCTTAAACCATACATAATTTCCAAATAAAAAGAAAGCAAAGCAACAGTTGTACCTAACACGATGCAACTAACTTGGTACAACTCTCCTGTGATTGTGATTTTCTGGATTTTAGATGTTAAGAATTTAGACTTTAGGACTGGGCATGGTGGCTCATGCCTGTATTCCCAGCACTTTGGGAGGCCAAGTCAGGAGGATCACTTGAGCCCAGGAGTTTGAAATCAGCCGGGGCAATAAAGTGAGACCCCATGATATGGTTTGGCTGTGTCTCCAACCAAATCTCATCTTGATTTGTAGTTCCCATAATCCCCACATATCATGATGGTGACCCAGTGGGAGGTAATTGAATCATGGAGGCAGTTACCCCCATGCTGTTCTCATGATAGTGAGTGAGTTCTCACAAGATCTGATGGTTTTATAAGGAGCTTTTCCCCCTTTGCTTGTGCTTCTCCTTCCTGCCACCTCATGAAGAAGGTGACTTGCTTCCCCTTTGCATTCTACCATGCTTGTAAGTTTCCTGAAGCCTCCCCAGCTATGATGAACTGTGAGTCAATTAAACCTCTTTACTTTATAAATTACCCAAGCTTGGTTATGTCTTTATTAGCAGCATGAGAATGGACTGATACAGTAAATATGTACTGAGGTAGTGGGGCTTTGCTATAAGGATACCTAAAAATGTGGAAGTGAATTTGGAACTGGGTAACAGGCAGAGGTTGAACAGTTTGCAGGGTTCAGAAGAAGAGAGAAAAATGTGAGGAAGTTTGGAACTTCCTAGAGACTTGCAGAATGGTTTTGAGGAAAATGCTGATAGTGACATGGACAATGAAGTCCAGGCTGAGGTGGTCTCATATGGAGATGAAGAACTTGTTGGGAACTGGAGTAAAGATGACTCTTGCTATGCAAAGGGACTGATGGCATTTTGCCCCTGCCCTAGAAATCTGTTGAACTTTAAACTTGAGAGACATGGTTTAGGGTATCTGGCAGAATAAATTCCTAGGGAGCAAGGTGTTCAAGAGGAAGCAAAGCATAAAAGTTTTAAAAATTTTGTAGCTTGATGATGAGATAGAAAAGGAAAACCCATTTTCTGGAGAGAAATTCAAGCCAGCTGCAGAAATTTGCATAAGTAACGAGGAACTAAATATTAATCACCAAGACAATGGGAAAATGTCTTCACGGCATGTCAGAGACCTTCACGGCAACTCAAACCATCACAGGCCAGGAGGCCTAGGAGGAAAAACATGGTTTAATGGGCCCGGTGCAGGGACTTGCTGCTCTGTGCAGTCTCAGGACTTGGTGCCCTGTGTCCCAATCATGGCTAAAGGGCCAATGTACAGCTCAAGCCATGGCTTCAGAGGGTACAAGGCCCAAGCCTTGGCAGCTTACATTAGGTGTTGGGCCTGTGGGTGCACAGAAGTCAAGAATTGAGGTTTGGGTATCTACACCTAAATTTCAGAGGATGCATGGAAACGCCTGGGTGTTCAGGCACAAATTTGTGACGGGGACGGAGCCCTCATGGGGAACCTCTGCTAGGGCAGTGAGTGCAGAAGGGAAATGTGGGGTCAGAGCCCCCACACAGTCCCCACTGGGGCACTGTCTAGTGGAGCTGAGAGAAGAGGGCCACCATCCTCCAGACTCCAGAATGGTAGATACACTGACAGCTTACACTGTATTGCCTGGAAAAGCCACAGACACTCAGCACCATCCTGTGAAAGCAGCCAGGAGGAAGGCTCTACCCTGCAAAGCAACAGGGGTGGAACTGCCCAAGGCCATGAGAGCCCACCTCTTGCTTCAGCGTGACCTGGATGTGAGACATGAAGTCAAAGGAAATCATTTCAGAGCTTCAAGATTTGACTGACCCATTGAATTTTGGACTTGCATGGGGCGTGCAGTCCCTTCATTTTGGCCAATTTCTCCCATTTGGAACAGATGTATTTACCCAATGCCTATATCCTCATTGTATCTATGAAGTAACTAACTTAATTTTGACTTTACAGGCTCATAGGCAGAAGGGCCTTGCCTTGTCTAAGATAAGACTTTGGACTTGGACATTTGGGTTAATGCTGGAATGAGCTAAGTCTTTGGGGAACTGTTAGAATGGCATGATCATGTTTTAAAATGTAAGGACATGAAATTTGGAAGGGGCTGAGGGCAGAATGATATGGTTTGGCTGTGTCCCCACCCAAATCTCACCTTGAAATGTAGTTTCCATAATCCCTACATGTTATGGGAGGAACCCAGTTGGAGGTAATTGAATCATGGGGGTGGTTACCCCCGTGCTGTTCTCATGGCAGTGAGTGATACCTGAAGGTTTTATAAGCGGCTTTTCCCCTTTTGCTCAGCACTTCCTGGTGCCTTGCTTCTTGTTTGCATTCACCATGATTGTAAGTTTTCTGAAGCCTTCCCAGCCATGCTGAACTGTGAGTCAATTAAACCTCTTTCTTTTGTAAATTACCCAGGCTCGTGTATGTTTTTATTGGGAGCATGAGAATGAACCAATTCACTCTGTCTCTATAAAAAAAAGAGAATTTAGACCTTAGGAATTTTAATCTTTCAGGATTTCAACATTCAGTGTTATGGTGTTTGTGACTGGGTCTTCTGGGATTATGATCCTCACCTGGAGTAAACAGCCTCGCAGCTCTCTTCAAACTATGATCCTATTCTCCCACTGCCTCCTGAGTTCAGCCTCTTCAACTTGGCTAAGCTTGCCTTTCCTTTCCTGTCTGCTTGCTTTCTTCCCTCTGATTAATCCAAAGTAAAATTTGACTTTTTTTTTCCATTCCAACAACTCCATCTTCTATCACATATCTCCTTTCATGAAGTTGGCCCATGATAATGTTTCTGTTGACAACAGTATAATATAGACAAGATTGCATATAGTTAAAGTACGTATTTTATTTATTTGGTGGCGCATTCTAATAAGAAATTAAAACTATTTCTTTTAAAATCATAATTTAATCACCAGGCAGAGCGAGTAAAGAGAAATAAGTTTCAGAATGTCACATCTGTCAAAAGTAAATGCTGATTTTTATTGAGGACTTCCTTATTTCTGCCACCAGTTGACTCTCATACAGCTTGTTCCCAATAGAATCTAGTGTGGAATTGGCAAATGTGGTGTCATACATGCAGCGTTCTACTGGAGCTGATAATTAAGTACCCAGAAATTTTATGAAGTGTTTGTCAAACCATCAGTAGAAATATTTACACAATGTAAATCAGCAAATGCTACAAATCTGGGCTTTCCCCCACCCAACCAATAGGTTTGCTAGCATACAACTTTTATTCATCTTGTAAACGTTCAGAATTTCTATAAATATTCATAGACTCTCCTATACTGAGTGTCTCAGAATAACTCGAAATTCTTACAATAGCCAGTGAGGCTGAGTGTGAGTTGACCCACCCCAGTCCCTCTCTCTGACCTGTCTCCTGTTAGCCTTCTGACTCCCAGTGTTCTCTACTTCATGCACATGGGCTAGGCACCCTGCTCTTTGCCTGCCTTTTCTTCCACGAGTGCTCTTCCCCAGATATCTGCATAGCTGGTGCCCTCACCTCCTTGGAATCTTTGTTCAAATGTTATCTTCTCAGTGAGACCTTATCTATATAAGTTTTCTATGATTGCTGGAATAAATTAGCACACCTCTAGTAGCCTAAAAGAACACACACTCTCTCTAGGGGAGAGAGAACACTTTCTTACCTTCTCCAGCTTTGAAAGGATGCCTGCATCCCTTGGCCCCTGGCCCCCTTCCAGGCAGCAACCACATCATTCTGACCCTAGCTATCACGCTTCTTGCCTCAGACTCTCCTGCCTCCCTCTTTTGCTTTTAAGTCCTCTTGTGATGACAATGGGCCAACATGGGTAATCTAGAATAATCTCCTCATCTCATGATCCATAACTTCATCACATCCATAAGTCCTTTTTGCCATATAGGGATATGGACATGTAGAAAGTCCATTCTTCTGCCTATTACTCCCTCCTTGAGCATTGTAACTACCTTCACATCTACCTGCTCCCAGCATTCCTGAGCTCTCTTCCAAACTTAATTTTTCTCTGTGCCACTTATTACCTTCCGGCATATTATATATTTTACATATTTATTTTATTAATGATCTGTCTTTTCTCACTGGAATATAATTTGCATGAGGGCAAACATTTTTGTTTTATATCGTTGACATATTTTCATTATGTTGAACAGTGCCTTGCTTTTAGTAAGGATTCAAGAAATATATAGGTTTTGGCTGAATAAATTAGGTTGAGAAGTTTGGGGGGAAATCCTGGCATGATACAGAAGACGGTTCCCAGTGATGGGAAAGGGCCATGTGGTTGGGCCTCTACAGGAAGCCGGGATGCTCCAGAGGTCCCCCAGGGCAGAGCTGCTTTGCTCACGTTGAACTCTTTGCCCGAGCTCTGATTTCTAATGTTTTCTTGCATATTTGTTTTTGCTCTGCCTTTTTTTAATTAATTTTTTATAGATATGAGGTTTTACTATATTTCTCAGGCTGGTATCAAATTCATGAGCTCAAGCAATCTTCCCACCTCAACCTCCCAAACTGTTATTACTAGAGGTGCAAGCCACCACACCCGGCCTGCTTTTCTCTTTCTTTGAAATATACTCAAAATGTTTATATTGGTTTCTAACTATAGATCATGAACTCCTGAAGCAAAGTAACCACTTTGTTCTTCATTATTTCTTTCACTCTTCTACTCTGCACTGTGCCAGATATTGGATATGTAGGTGCCAAACATTTACTTTTCTGATTTCTTACATTTTATTTCTTAAAAATCAGCCTAACCACGTTGTAGAGAGGGATTATTTCCTTCCTTTGTTTTGAAAATTTGTGCATGCCCAATGCTTACATTGTGCGGTTCAATGTTGCTTCAGCTTTTTTTTTTTTTTTTTTCTATTTTTGCCAGACTTCCGAAACTCTTAAAAGTTGTCTGTGGTCAGCACAGCAAAGAACACGCTTTAGCTTTGAAAAAATCTTTAACATGAAAAAAATGCACTAACATTGTTTTCAATGTAACATAGGCTAGAATTTGCCTATGTTTGCACATGCTGAGAATTGTCCAACCCGGTTGATGTGTTCACCTCTTCAGCTTGGACCTTGTTGTGAATTTATTTACAAACATCAGTTGCCTTCAAGCCATCCTTTCTGCTGTATGTTTTGTAGCCTTCTATAGTAGATACACAACAGATAATGTGGAGAGAAAAGACATAAGAAGAGGAAGGTAATGAGAGACGTTGTCAAGGTAGTAACCTTCTTGGTTTCTTTGAAGAATTTGTTGCCTTTCTACTAAGACAACAAAGAAGCATTTTGTTACTGACCGCCTAAAACCACTCAATCTCAGGTGAATGCATCACTTGCCAAGCTGTTGGAATGCTATATGTGTTTTGTTGCACAATTTTTTGGTTGTTTATTTGGTTGGCTTTTTGGAAGGCAAATTTGGAAAGGGGACCTACACAGGAGTGCTGACCCACCCACATTCCCTTATTATCATTACAGACAAGAAGAAACTAGCAGAGCTAAGAATGGAGTGAAGAAAGGCAGTGTGATAAGCACCAGCAAAGAGTTGAGGGCTGTTGCTCTCTAAATTATTATTTGATTATTTTAAAAGTATGGAAGTTTTCTAGTCACTGAAGAAAGGAGGTGTAAGTGCACTTATTTTTATATGGAGTTACTTAACTACCTCCTAAACACATACGTGGCAATTGTTTTTGCTTGTGCAAAGTATTTTAATTAGCAAGAATTCATATATTGAGATTATAATTAGAGAGCTCAATTTATATATTTGCTATCCTGCTCAAGCCTGACATGGAAAAAAAAAACCAAGTTCACTCCAAAATATATAGCTTCAAAATAATAAATACTGGAAAGTTTGCTGTGATAACTATTTTGTACTTTTGTACAAAAAAACTAAAGAACAAATTACCTAAAGAACAATTTGCTAAACATGAGAAATTGCACCTTTGAGTATATACAGGTAAGATAGGAAGAGTGTTCAGACCAGTAAATTATAGTTTATATTGAAGATAATATTCAGTTGATTCATAACAAATAACCAGCATTCATGATAACATTTCAGCATTTCCAAGGTACCAAGTGTACTGATTTTTAAAAATATATTTTAGAAGGAATTTAGAACTGGTATTTTTAATGAAGACTAGCATCTCTGATGTTGCAACATGTATGTGAAATGGGTGTTACATCTATCCTGCCCTTTAACCTCACCGTTAACAAAGTGGCTGAAAATAACAGCAAGAAAAAATCAGTCTAAGGGAGAAAACCACTAATGCTCTCAATTCTCTCTCTCTCTCTCTCTCTTTCTCTCTCTCTGTGTGTGTGTGTGTGTGTGTGTGTGTGTGTGTGTGTTAAGGGGGATGGCGGGTGGTGGTCTTAACCCTTGAAAGAAACCTTCTTTGTATAGGAAGCATATTTCGGTTTAGGTACAATGATAAGAAAGTTTAATTTTATAATCTATAAGACCAGATACCTTCAGAAATGATTTTTCCTGTGGGATTTCTATGACTGGTATTCTGACTAGTGTGAAATGGCAGAATTGGATGTCTATATCTACACCCATCAAAACCTCACAGCTTCATGCACTGCTATAACTTTTCTGTTAACTCTGGGTAAATTAGGAGGCTGGTACAAGGAATAATTTCAACTTCAGATTTTACAGTTTGTTTACGTTAAGGGCAGAAAGATCTACTTTTCAACGATCTGTATTTTAAGATATTGACTTTTCCTGGTGCTATTTTATGAATATGGATAAAATAGAATTCTTATTAGAAATCTCAACTCCGAATTGAGAATAGATGTTTTGATACTTGTCCTGCTGTGGCCTGAGACTTGGAATCATGAATTATAAGAGACCTTGCTGTTTATCTACAGATTAGAACACACAAATAAACATCAGCGTAACATCCTCATTAGCATTCTGGTAGTTACATGTACTTATTCCAGAGCAAAATTAATATATGATAAGAAGTGGAATATTTTCTGTTGATATCTAGGGTATTATGACAACAACCTTCCTTAGAAAAGAAACAGTGTATTATGAGGACAGTGGATGCTACAAAATTATTTGTCTTCAAGGCATTGCAAACAACTGGAATCAATTGAATAACCTTCTCAAGCACAAGCCAATAGTGAAACGAAAGTCATTTATCTGTAACAGCAGGCAAGAGCTTCACTGGTACACTCGGAAGGTGGCTCACTAACCCTGCCGAAGTTTTGCTCCATCTGATCAGGGCATAAATGTTTCATTGGCCCAATAACCAAGGTCTTAGAGTTTCGCAGTGTTTTCTCTCCAATACTTAATAGAGGGAGCATTGCTGACATTCTGCCCATGGTTGCCAAGGCTGAAATCAAACGTGCTTTGAATAATATTATAAAAACTTTGAAATTAACCTTTGCCGTTGGAACCAATGTTCAACTGTGGGCTCTATACAAAGCCGCTTAGGGTGGGAGGGAGCAAACTTTTCAAGTTGGTTTTAGGTAACAGAAACAGATGTCTTTATTGGATTTGTCTGGAAAAAAAGTAAGGAAAATCCCAACATTATCTGTTCTGGTCAAGAAGTATAAGGCTCAGTCCCGTTTTATTTTTCTCCTTCTCCTTTGGATCCTTTTTCCTTATTCCTGACTCTATACATGGAGAAAAAGTTCAAGTGCATCTAAAACAGTAATTCTGGGAACTTGTCAACTTATTCCCATGACGCTACTATTGTTTATAAAGCATTTTGAAGATTCTTGTATTCAGAGCTAGTGATAAGCCACAAGAGGAATTCAGTCTTGCTGGTGTACAGCTGCATTTTGGGCCCATGTATAGAAGAGCTAACATGGATTTCAGAGTCTCCCAGGTGTTTGAAATCCAGACTCTGCTCTCAGGACCTGTGAGGTCTTAGATAAGTTGCTCAATCTCTTTGAGCCTCAGTTTTCTGAGTACAATGGCACATACCTTACAGGACTGCGGTGTGGATGAATTGCGATGATGTGTATGATTCCAGCTCTGGGTCTTCTTTCCTTCCTTCTTTCTTCCCCGCCAGGAGGAAAGCAAGGCAGTGCAGCAGAGTGGGAAGTACTGCCCGTGGAGGCCACTTTTGGGCTGGAGCCTGCTCAAGGCACTTTAGTGCTGAGTCATTTGGGGCCCAAGGTAGGGGCAGATAGAAGAGAAGGAGGGCAGTTATCGCCTAATCACAGGGACAGATAGAAGAGAAGGAGGGCAGTTATCGCCTAGTCACAGGGGCAGATAGAAGAGAAGGACGGCAGTTATCGCCTAGTCACAGGGGCAGATAGAAGAGAAGGAGGGCAGTTATTTCCTAGTAACAGAGACAGATAGAAGAGAAGGACGGCAGTTATCGCCTAGTCAGGAGTTTAACAATCTCTATTTCCTTTCAAACCTCGTTTGACTGCCATTCCAGTCAAATTCACAGGCAATTAAACTTCCTCCTGCATCTCGGAGCAGGCCTCTGTATCATCATTTCTCCTCTGCAAGTGTATCTTCTTCGGGCACGTGGAAAGGTCTTAGTGCACCTGCGGTATTTAGGGACTTGATCCTCTTTCCTCTTTATTGTCAAAGTTGTGGCTTGCCGAAGTCAGGACAGAGTCTGATTATGACATGTTAGCAATCGTCACATCTCATTTTTAAGTAAGTATACTTTTATGCAGTTTGAGCTCTCATTCATGTCATTTATTAATTTGTTCATTCGTTAACACATTCATTTGTGGAGCATTTGGCCTATAAAAGAGTTGAAACCCTTCCTTACCATTAAGGGAGGAGAGAATACAAAATGCACAGAGACACATGCTTGGTTTTGTATAACTTTGACGGTTTCTAAAATAAAATAAGGTCTAACTTGGAAAATCAAAACCTATCACTGAGATATTTTCATAATCTAAAAAGTCCGTTTCAAAAGAACTTCCAAAATGTTTTAAAAAAATGACTATCCTTTAGAATAATGATGTAGCATTCCAAAGTTTTAGTGTTCAACCAGCATTTATTACCACCTGCTGGGTGCCTGAGGCAGGACATTTGTAATGAGAGCCACAAACATGAATTGAAAAACTGCTGCCCATAGGTTCACAGTTCCTGTCAAAGCATAGAGCTCCCTGTAGATAGAGCCCCCTGTATAAGATGCCCTGTGTTCTGGGCGAGAGGATACACTAGGTCTGCAGATATATCTGGTAGGCAGAACAGAAAAGGTGTCACTGAGGAGGTGCTATGTGAGTTAGTTGTGAAAAATGAGTACGGGTTTATGAGGCAGATATGAGAGGCACTTTGTTGAAGTTACAACTCCTACCAGGCACTCGTTTGAATTTTCTGTTTCATTTGCTCTTTGGAGGTTGCTTGTTGGTACACTTACATCTTCTATGCCAGTCTTAAAAGAGAGGAGTGTGTGTGTGTGTGTGTGTGTGTGTGTGTGTGTCTGTGTTCAGTATTTTTCGCAGAGTTTCTTTGTGTTTCCAAGCTTACTTTAGAGCTGAAGCTTGTCAGAGTTCTCATAACAAATTCGTGATTGAACTAAATTCCAACCTGCCGCCTCTGGTGTTGGAGCCTTACGGCACCTCAGTGCATTCATGGGGTGTGCTCTACCCTCTACTTTCGTGATTTATTTAAAGACCAAATCATGATGAATAACATTTCTTAGGCTTAAACCCATAGCAGGGGTAGGAAATAGTTCAAACCTTCTGACTTAAATGAACAAATACAGTCTTCAAAAACTGTTTTCTAATCTGCATGAATGTACTGAACTTGTTGCCGCCTTCATTTAAATGTGATGTATCAAAAGTGCTTTGTAAACTCTTAAATTCCAATGTTGATATTGTTATAGATATACTTTATTAAATACTGGATAATGATTTTATAAGCTACAGGGTGTTTAACTGTGAAATTATTCTAAAATATGTAGAAAAAAATTGGAATAATCTTCCCATTTTGAACACAATGATTGGTTTTAAAGTTCCCTTGATTTATGTGTTTGTATACTGAGGATTCTCAATTGAGTGAACTAGTGTCTTTGCAATATAGTAAGATTTTGGTACAGTTTTTAATCTATCAAGGAAAAGGCTAGATAAGTAGGATCTCATTTGTTTCATGGACCATTATTTGAAGGATGATTTAAGACCATAGGAAATACTGACTCACCTTTTCTAAAAAGACAACTGATTTTCTTATGCTTTTAAGTTCAAATTTATCTTGTCTCCTTTTGATTAATTAAAACAACAGTTATCAAAAACCTTAGCAGAAAATATTATTTATTGAATCTGAAAAGAAACAGGAAATACTGTGCTTTCTTGAGCCTGTTTCCTATACCCCAATATCATAAGAATTTTTGTTGCTTCTATAATGTTCAGCTGCAAATTATTTTGCGTGATCAATCAAAATGAATTACCTGAATTTTCTCCTCTTGTTCAAAATGGAACCACATTCATCCACCTACCCCTAGCCCTAGGACTGTTTCTTTCATTCGGATAGTTTGTGATATCCTTGACTTCACAGCAGAAAGCTGTGTCTCCCAAACCCCTTCACTCAGGTCCCGTGGGGCCTGCCCTCTAAAGTCTCTTCGGTCTTCTTTCTTTGAATGTTCATGGCCATCTTGTCGTTTAGACTCTTATCCCTGACTGTAAGAGATCTCTCGGGTCTTCCTGCCTGTGGTCATGCCTAATTTGTACCCTTCCTAAAATGTGATGTGATCATGTCACTGCCTTGCTTAGAAGCCCCGCACTGGCTTCCAACACGTGCAGAATCAAGTGCTTGCTGTTTAACATTGTCTACCCAGTCCTCCAGATTCTGGCTTCCAGTTATTTTCTCAGCCTCAAAAAAGCACCTCGCTCTCCAAACATATCAAATAGCTTGTGCTCTCCTGCCTCCGGTTCACACCTCCATTCCTTCCCCTCTACCTGGATGCTCCTTCCTTCATCCACCCCCTTGCTGTAAGCTCCCATGGATTCACTGGTTCTTGAGTGTTTTATTGCACTTTGGACATCCCGTCTCTCACTCCTGGCTTCTGTCTGTCTACCTGTCTTGACCGGCCATTTGCACTGCCTCTGGCTTATCTGCCTCATTCTGGTCGACAGTGTTATTTATTAGCTTCATATCTACTGGTTCTCTCAATTATTTCTCAGCCTCCCCACACCAGGCTCCTTGCCCTGTATTTATAAGCTGCTATTGGCTTGAGGGTGACTGTGCCTTTCTAATAAAGCTATTTTATAGACTGATAGTTACAAGGGTATAGTCGAAAAGAAATGAATCTACCTTTGAGTGTATTTCAACATATCTAGTGATCCATGAATATTTCTTCTTATTATTATCATTATTGTTATTTTTAAATAGACGATCAGGGAAGGCAGAGTCTAGGCCACCAATGTGAACTTAGGCTTTCATCTTTATTAAGATATTTGGGATCTCTGCAAGTATTCTGAATTTTAAATGGCATTCAATGATTTGATAAAATAGGAAGTTTGTTTTACTCTGGACTGGGTAGTGTTTCAGCAACTGGCTACTGTGTCATTATTACTATAAATTCAAAATGTAGAAGGAACATTTACCTTTTAACCATTCTCAACCTTTTTTCTTGGTGCACTCATGCCTCTGTGATCTCATGAAGCCCAATGGCATTAAATTCCATGTATATGTGCATGGTCCATGAACACATATTTCCACCTCCTACCTCTCCTCTAAAATTTAGACTCATATCTAATTATCTGCCGATTATCACCACTTGGAAGACTAATAGACAACTCAACTATCACACATCCATAAGGGAATTCTTGATCCTCCACCTTCAACCCCTGGGCCCAACACTCCTCAGTCTTCTCCGACTCAGTAAATAGCACCTCCAGCGTACCGGCCGTTAGGCCAGAAAACTTGTCCTGACCCCTCTTTGTTTCTTACACCTCATATCAGCATACACTGTTGAACTGCATTAAGAATCTGAGCTTCCCTTGCCACACCCATTGTGTACAACCTGCTTCACTTTAAGTTATTGCTTTCATGGATTATGAAAATAGCCTCCTAACTCCTCTCCCACTTTTTCTTTCTCCCTGTACTTTGTTCTTCACTGAGCAACCAGAGTAAGTCTTTATTTATTTTTTTTTTTTGAGACAGAGTCTCCTCTGTCACCCAGGCTGGAGTGCAGTGGTGCAATCTGGGTTCACTACAACTTCTAACTCCTGGGTTCAAGTGATTCTCCTGCCTCAGCCTCCCAAGTAGCTGGGACTACAGGCATGCACCACCAAGCCTGGCTAATTTTTGTGTTTTTAATAGAGATGGGGTTTTGCCATGTTGGCCAGGCAGGTCTCGAACTCCTGACCTCAGGTGATCCAGAGTAAGTCTTTTCAAAGCATAAGGCAAATAATGTTTTCATCTCCTTAAAACCTTCCATGGCTAGGAATGTTTTAAACCATATTGTCCCCTGACACTTCTCTGATGTCTAGGCCAGTCAGTCTCCCCTCTATTTTGCAATCTTCAAAGACACCAGGAAGTTGTGCTTCTGCCTCAGGGCCTTTGCATGTGTGGTCCCCTTTTCTTGGAATGCTTTCTCATCAGGAATCAGCATGGCTTACTTCCTCTCTTTTTTATTTTTATTTTATTTTATTATTATTATACTTTAAGTTTTAGGGTACATGTACACAACATGCAGGTTTGTTACATACGTACACACATGCCATGTTGGTGTGCTGCACCCATTAACTCGTCATTTAGCATTAGGTATATCTCCTAATGCTATCCCAGCCCTCTTCCCCCAACCCACAACAGTCCATGGTGTGTGATGTTCCCTTCCTGTGTCCATGTGTTCTCATTGTTCAATTCCCACCTATGAGTGAGAACATGCGGTGTTTGGTTTTTTGTCCTTGCGCTAGTTTGCTGAGAATGATGGTTTCCAGTTTCATCCATGTCCCTACAAAGGACATGAACCCTTCATTTTTTATGGCTGCATAGTATTCCATGGTGTATATGTGCCACATTTTCTTAATCCAGTCTATCATTGTTGGACATTCAGGTTGGATCCAAGTCTTTGCTATTGTGAATAGTGTTGCAATAAACATAAGTGTGCATGTGTCTTTATAGCAGCATGATTTATAATCCTTTGTGTATATACCCAGTAATGGGATGGCTGGGTCAAATGGTATTTCTAGTTCTAGATCCTTGAGAATTCGCCACAGTGACTTCTACAATGGTTGAACTAGTTTACAGTCCCACCAACAGTGTAAAAGTGTTCCTATTTCTCCACATCCTCTCCAGCACCTGTTGTTTCCTGACTTTTTAATGATTGCCATTCTAACTGGTGTGAGATGGTATCTCATTGTGGTTTTCATTTGCATTTCTCTGATGGCCAGTGATGATGAGCATTTTTTCATGTGTTTTTTGGCTGCATAAATGTCTTCTTTTGAGAAGTGTCTGTTCATATCCTTCACCCACTTTTTGATGGGGTTGTTTGTTTTTTTCTTGTCGATTTGCTTGAGTTCATTGCAGATTCTGGATATTAGCCCTTTGTCAGATGAGTAGGTTACAAAAATTTTCTCCCATTCTGCAGGTTGCCTGTTCACTCTGATGGTAGTTTCTTTTGCTGTGCAGAAGCTCTTTAGTTTAATTAGATCCCATTTGTCAATTTTGGCTTTTGTTGCCATTGCTTTTGGTGTTTTAGACATGAAGTTCTTGCTCATGCCTATGTCCTGAATGGTATTGCCTAGGTTTTCTTCTAGGTTTTTTATGGTTTTAGGTCAAATATGTAAGTCTTTAATCCATCTTGAATTGATTTTTGTATAAGGTGTAAGGAAGAGATCCAGTTTCAGGTTTCTACATATGGCTAGCCAGTTTTCCCAGCACCATTTATTAAATAGGGAATCCTTTCTCCATTGCTTGTTTTTCTCAGGTTTGTCAAAGATCAGATAGTTGTAGATATGCATCATTATTTCTGAGGGCTCTGTTCTGTTCCATTGGTCTACATCTCTGTTTTGGTACCAGTACCATGCTGCTTTGATTACTGGGTACTGTAGCCTAGTAGTAGAGTTTGAAGTCAGGTAGTGTGATGCCTCCAGCTTTGTTCTTTTGGCTTAGGATTGACTTGGCAATGCCAGCTCTTTTTTGGTTCCAAATGAACTTTAAAGTAGTATTTTTTCAATTCTGTGAAGAAAGTCATTAGTAGCTTGATGGGGATGGCATTGAATCTATAAATTACCTTGGGCAGTATGGCCATTTTCATGATATTGATTCTTCCATATTACTACCCATGAGCATGGAATGTTCTTCCATTTGTTTGTATCCTCTTTTATTTCATTGAGCAGTGGTTTGTGTTTCTCCTTGAAGAGTTCCTTCACATCCCTTGTAAGTTGGATTCCTAGGTATTTTATTCTCTTTGAAGCAATTGTGAATGGGAGTTCACTCATGATGTGGCTCTCTGTCTGTTATTGGTGTATAAGAATGCTTGTGATTTTTGTACATTGATTTTGTATGCTGAGACTTTGCTGAAGTTGCTTATCAGCTTAAGCAGATTTTAGGCTGAGACGATGGGGTTTTCTAGATATATAATCATGTTGTCTGCAAACAGGGACAATTTGACTTCCTCTTTTCCTAATTGAATACCCTTTATTTCCTTTTCCTGCCTGATTGCCCTTGCCAGAACTTCCAACACTATGTTTAATAGGAGTGGTGAGAGAGGGTATCCCTGTCTTGTGCCAGTTTTTAAAGGGAATGCTTCCAGTTTTTGCCTATTCAGTATGATATTGGCTGTGGGTTTGTCATAGATAGCTTTTATTATTTTCAGATACATCCCATCAATACCTAATTTATTGACAGTTTTTAGCATGAAATGTTGTTGAATTTTGTCAAAGGCCTTTTCTGCATCTATTGAGATAATCATGTGGTTTTTGTCTTTGGTTCTGTTTCTATGCTGGATTACATTTATTGATTTGCATATGTTGAACCAGCGTTGCATCCCAGAGATGAAGCCCACTTGATCGTGATGGATAAGCTTTTTGATATGCTGCTGGATTTGGTTTGCCAGTATTTTATTGAGGATTTTTGCATCAATGTTCATCAAGGATATTGGTCTAAAATTCTCTTTTTTGGTTGTGTCTCTGCCATGCTTTGGTATCAGGATGATGCTGGCCTCATAAAATGAGTTAGGGAGGATTCACTCTTTTTCTATTGATTGGAATAGTTTCAGAAGGAATGGTACTAGCTCCTCCTTGTACCTCTGGTAGAATTTGGCTTTGAATCCATCTGGTCCTGGACTTTTTGGTTGGTAAGCTATTGATTATCACCTCAATTTCAGATCCTGTTATTGTTCTATTCAGAGATTCAACTTCTTCCTGGTTTAGTCTTGGGAGGATGTATGTGTCGAAGAATTTATCCATTTCTTCTAGATTTTCTAGTTTATTTGTGTAGGGCTGTTTAAAATATTCTCTGATGGTAGTTTGTATTTCTGTGGGATCACGGGCGATATCCCCTTATCATTTTTTATTGCATCTATTTGATTCTTCTCTCTTTTCTTCTTTATTAGTCTTGCTAGTGGTCTATCAATTTTATTGATCTTTTCAAAAAACCAGCTTCTGGATTCATTAATTTTTTGAATGGTTTTTTGTGTTTTTATTTCCTTCAGTTCTGCTCTGATCTTAGTTATTTCTTGCCTTCTGCTAGCTTTTGAATGTGTTTGCTCTTGATTTTCTAGTTCTTTTAATTGTGATGTTAGGGTGTCAATTTTTGATCTTTCCTGCTTTCTCTTGTGGGCATTTAGTGCTATAAATTTCCCTCTACACACTGCTTTGAATGTGTCCCAGAGATGCTAGTATGTTGTGTCTTTGTTCTCGTTGGTTTAAAAGAACATCTTTATTTCTGCTCTCATTTCGTTATGTACCCAGTAATCATTCAGGAGCATGTTGTTCAGCTTCTAGGTAGTTGAGTGGTTTTGAGTGAGTTTCTTATTCCTGAGTTCTGGCTTGATTGCATGGTGGTCTGAGAGACAGTTTGTTATAATTTCTGTTCTTTTACATTTGCTGAGGAATGCTTAATTCCAACTATGTGGTCAATTTTGTAATTGATGTGGTGTGGTGCTGAAAAGAATGTATATTCTGTTGATTTGAGGTGGAGAGTTTTGTAGATGTCTATTAGGTCTGCTTGGTGCAGAGCTGACTTCAATTCCTGGGTATCCTTGTTAACTTTCTGTCTCATTGATCTGTCTAATGTTGACAGTGGGGTATTAAAATCTCCCATTATTATTGTGTGGGAGTCTAAGTCCCTTTGTATGTCATTAAGGACTTGCTTTATGAATCTGGGTGCTCCTGTATTGGGTGCATATATATTTAGGATAGTTAGCTCTTCTTGTTGAACTGATCCTTTACCATTATGTAATGGCCTTCTTTGTCTCTTTTGATCTTTGTTGGTTTAAAGTCTGTTTTATGAGAGACTAGGATTGCAACCCCTGCCTTTTTTTGTTTTCCATTTGCTTGGTCGATCTTCCTCCATCCCTTTATTTTGAGCCTGTGTGTGTCTCTGCACATGAGATGGGTTTCCTGAATACAGCACACTGATGAGTCTGGACTCTTTATCCAATTTTCCAGTGTGTGCCTTTTAATTGGAGCATTTAGCCCATTTACATTTAAGGTTAATATAGTTATGTGTGAATTTGATCCTGTCATTAAGATGTCAGCTGGCAATTTTGCTCGTTAGTTGATGCAGTTTCTTTGTAGCCTCGATGTTCTTTACAATTTGGCATGTTTTTGCAGTGGCTGGTACCAGTTGTTCCTGTCCATGGTTAGTGCTTCTTTAAGGAGCTCTTTTCTTATTAATATTGTTTTTCTTTTTATTTAAACGAGGTTGACCTTACAAATCAAAGCAATATGGGAGTGATTTTACACTAGCAATATTATTTTTAGTTACTCAGATGAACAAAAAGAACATTCATCCATTGAAGCTGTGATTAAAAAATTCTTTATCTATTTAAACTGAATAGTATACACTTGCATTATCCTAATACTTAGCAAGCAGAGCAAAAAATAAAACTCACTGTAAACTTAGGTAATATAACTACAGATTATTTCTCATCTTTGTTTTTGTTTCTTTAACTTTTTATTATTATTATACTTTAAGTTTTAGGGTACATGTGCACGATGTGCAGGTTAGTTACATATGTATACATGTGCCATGCTGGTGCGCTGCACCCACTAAGTCGTCATCTAGCATTAGATATATCTCCGAATGCTATCCCTCCCCCATCCCCCCAACCCCACAACAGTCCCCAGAGTGTGATGTTCCCCTTCCTGTGTCCATGTGTTCTCATTGTTCAATTCCCACCTATGAATGAGAATATGCGGTGTTTGGTTTTTTGTTCTTGTGATAGTTTACTGAGAATGATGATTTCCAATTTCATCCATGTCCCTACAAAGGACATGAACTCATCATTTTTTATGGCTGCATAGTTTTCCATGGTGTATATGTGCCACATTTTCTTAATCCAGTCTATCATTGTTGGACATTTGCGTTGGTTCCAAGTCTTTGCTATTGTGAATAATGCCACAATAAACATACGTGTACATGTGTCTTTATAGCAGCATGATTTATAGTCCTTTGGGTATATACCCAATAATCAGATGGCTGGGTCAAATGGTATTTCTTGTTCTAGATCCCTGAGGAATCACCACACTGACTTCCACAATTGTTGAACTAGTTTACAGTCCCACCAACAGTGTAAAAGTGTTCCTATTTCTCCACATCCACTCCAGCACCTGTTGTTTCCTGACTTTTTAATGATTGCCATTCTAACTGGTGTGAGATGGTATCTCATTGTGGTTTTGATTTGCATTTCTCTGATGGCCAGTGAAGGTGAGCATTTTTTCATGTGTTTTTTGGCTGCATAAATGTCTTCTTTTTTTAGAAGTGTCTGTTCATGTCCTTTGCCCACTTTTTGATGGGGTTGTTTGTTTTTTTCTTGTCGATTTGTTTGAGTTCATTGTAGATTCTGGATATTAGCCCTTTGTCAGATGAGTAGGTTGTGAAAATTTTCTCCCATTTTGTAGGTTGCCTGTTCACTCTGACAGTAGTTTCTTTTGCTGTGCAGAAGCTCTTTAGTTTAATTAGATCCCATTTGTCAATTTTGTCTTTTGTTGCCATTGCTTTTGGTGTTTTAGACATGAAGTCCTTGCCCATCCCAATGTCCTGAATGGTAATGCCTAGGTTTTCTTCTAGGGTTTTATGGTTTTAGGTCTAACGTTCAAGTCTTTAATCCATCCTGAATTGATTTTTGTATAAGGTGTAAAGAAGGGATCCAATTTCAGCTTTCTACATATGGCTAGCCAGTTTTCCCAGCACCATTTATTAAATAGGGAATCCTTTCCCCATTTCTTGTTTTTCTCCGGTTTGTCAAAGATCAGATAGTTGTAGATATGCGGCGTTATTTCTGAGGGCTCTGTTCTGTTCCATTGGTTTATATCTCTGTTTTGGTACCAGTACTATGCTGTTTTGGTTACTGTAGCCTTGTAGTATAGTTTGAAGTCAGTTAGTGTGATGCCTCCAGCTTTGTTCTTTTGGCTTAGGATTGACTTGGTGATGCCGGCTCTTTTTTGGTTCCATATGAACTTTAAAGTAGTTTTTTCCAATTCTGTGAAGAAGGTCATTGGTAGCTTGATGGGGATGGCATTGCATCTATCAGTTACCTTGGTCAGTATGGCCATTTTCACGATATTGATTCTTCCTACCCATGAGCATGGAATGTTCTTCCATTTGTTTGTATCCTCTTTTATTTCATTGAGCAGTGGTTTGTATTTCTCCTTGAAGAGTTCCTTCACATCCCTTGTAAGTTGGATTCCTAGGTATTTTATTCTCTTTGAAGTAATTTTGAATGGGAGTTCCCTCATGATTTGCCTCTCTGTTTGTCTGTTATTGGTGTATAAGAATGCTTGTGATTTTTGTACATTGATTTTGTATCCTGAGACATTGCTTAATTTGCTTATCAGCTTAAGGAGACTTTGGGCTGAGACAATGGGGTTTTCTAGATATACAATCATGTTGTCTGCAAACAGGGAGAATTTGACTTCCTCTTTTCCTATTTGAATACCGTTTATTTCCTTTTCCTGCCTGATTGCCCTTGCCAGAACTTCCAACACTATGTTTAATAGGAGTGGTGAGAGAGGGCATCCCTGTCTTGTGCCAGTTTTCAAAGGGAATGCTTCCAGTTTTTGCCCATTCAGTGTGATATTGGCTGTGGGTTTGGCCTAGATAGCTCTTATTATTTTCAGATACGTCCCATCAATACCTAATTTATTGAGAGTTTTTAGTATGAAGTGTCGTTGAATTTTGTCAAACGCCCTTTCTGCATCTATTGAGATAATCATGTGGTTTTTGTCTTTGGTTCTGTTTCTATGCTGGATTACATTTATTGATTTGCGTATATTGAACCAGCCTTGCATCCCAGGGATGAAGCCCACTTGATCATGGTGGATAAGCTTTTTTATATGCTGCTTGATTCGGTTTGTCAGTATGTTATTGAGGATTTTTGCGTCAATGTTCATCGAGTATATTAGTTTAAAATTCTCTTTTTTAGTTGTGTCTCTGGCAGGCCTTGGTATCAGGATGATGCTGGCCTCATAAAATGAGTTAGGGAGGATTCACTCATTTTCTATTGATTGGAATAGTTTCAGAAAGAATGGTACCAGTTCCTCCTTGTACCTCCGGTAGAATTCGGCTGTGAATCCATCTGGTCCTGGACTCCTTTTAGTTGGTAAGCTATTGATTATTGCCACAACTTTAGCCCCTGTTTTTGGTCTATTCAGAGATTCAACTTCTTCCTGGTTTAGTCTTGGGAGAGTGTATGTGTCAACGAATTTATCCATTTCTTCTAGATTTTCTAGTTTATTTGCACAGAGTTGTTTGTAGTAGTCTCTGATAGTAGTTTGTATTTCTATGGGATTGGTGGTGATATCCCCTTTATCATTGTTTATTGTGTCTATTTGATTCTTCTCTTTTTTTCTTTATTAGTCTTGCTAGTGGTCTATCATTTTTTTGATCCTTTCAAAAAACCGGCTTAAGGAGTCTTTTAGGGCAGGCCTGTTGGAGACAAAATCTCTCAGCATTTGTCTGTCTGTAAAGTATTTTATTTCTACTTCATTTATGAAGCTTAGTTTGGCTGGATATGAAATTCTGGGTTGAAAATTATTTTCTTTAAGAATGTTGAATATTGGCCCCCAGCTGTAGTCTGATGGGCTTCCCTTTGTGGGTCACCCAACTTTTCTCTCAGGCTGCCCTTAACATTTTTTCATTCATTTCAACTTTGGTGAATCTGACAGTTATGTGCCTTGGATTTGCTATTCTCTAGGAGTACCTTTGTTGCCTTCTATGTATTTTCTGAATTTGAATGTTGGCCTGCCTTGCTAGATTGGGGAAGTTCTCCTGGATAATATCCTGCAGAGTGTTTTTCAATTTGGTTCCATTCAACCCGTCACTTTCAGGTACACCAATCAGACGTAGATTTGGTCTTTTCACGTAGTCCCATATTTCTTGTTGGCTTTGTTCATTTCTTTTTATTCTTTTTTGCTAAACTTCTCTTCTCGCTTCATTTCATTCCTTTCGTCTTCCATCACTGATACCCTTTCTTCCAGTTGATCACATTGGCTACTGAGGCTTCTGCATTCATCACGTAGTTCTTGTGCCTTGGTTTTCAGCTCCATCAGGTCCTTTAAGGACTTCTCTGCATTGGTTATTCTAGTGATCCATTCATCTATTTTTTTTCAAAGTTTTTATCTTCTTTGCCATTGGTTCGAATCTCCTCCTATAGCTCAGATTAGTTTGATCATCTGAAGCCTTATTCTCTCAACTCATCGAAGTCATTCTCCATCCAGCTTTGTTCCGTTGCTGGTGAGGAGTTTTGTTCATTTGGAGGAGGAGAGGTGCTCTGAATTTTAGAGTTTCCAGTTTTTCTGCTCTACTTGTTTCCCATCTTTTTGGTTTTATCTAACGTGGGCTTTAATGATGGTGATTTACGGAAGGGTTTTTGGTGTGGATGTCCTTTCTGTTTGTTAGTTTTCCCTCTAAAATCAGGACCCTCAGCTGCAGGTCTGTTGGAGTTTACTAGAGGTCCATTCCAGACCCTGTTTGCCTGCATATCAGCAGTGGTGACTGCAGAACAGTGGATATTGGTGAACCGCAGATGCTGCTGCCTGATCGTTCCTCTGGAAGTTTTGTTTCAGAAGAGTACCAGGCTGTGTGAGGTTTCAGTCCAACCCTACTGGGGGGTGCCTCCCAGTTAGGCTACTCAGGAGTCAGGGACCCACTTGAGGAGGTAGTCTGTCCATTCTCAGATCACAAGCTGCGAGCTGGGAGAACCACTACCCTCTTCAAAGCTGTCAGAGAGGGATATTTAAGTCTGCAGAGGTTACTGCTGTCTTTTTGTTTGTCTGTGCCCTGCCCCCAGAGGTGGAGCCTACAGGGGCAGGCAGGCCTCCTTGAGCTGTGGTGGGCTCCACCCAGTTCCCGCTTCCTGGCTACTTTGTTTACCTACTCATGCCTTAGCAATGGCGGGTGTCCCACCCCCAGCCTCGCTGCCACCTTGCAGTTTGATCTTCGACTGACGTGCTAGCAATGAGTGAGGCTCCGTGGACGTAGGACTCTCTGAGCCAGGTGCAGGATATAATCTCCTGGTGTGACATTTTTTAAGCCCGTTGGAAAAGCGCAGTGTTAGGGTGGAGTGACCCGATTTTCCAGATGCCATCTGTCACCACTTTCTTTACTAGGAAAGGGAATTCCCTGACCCCTTGCACTTCACGGGTGAGGCAATTCCTTGCCCTGCTTCGGCTCATGCACGGGGTGCTGCACCCACTGTCCTGCACCTACTGTCTGGCACTCCCCAGTGAGATGAACCCGGTACCTCAGTTGGAAATGCAGAAATCACCCGTCTTCTGTGTCACTCACACTGGGAGCTGTAGAGCGGAGCTGTTCCTATTCGGCCTTCTTGGCTCCTCCCCCCAACATTCATTTTAAGGATAAATAATATTCTGTTGTGTGTATATACCATATTTTCTTTGTCAGTTTGACTCTTAGAAGATATCTGGATTTCTTTTTAAATTTTTTACTGTAAATGATGCTGCTATAAAATTTGGTTTGAAAGTATCAGTGCATAAGTGAATAAAATTTTAAAATCTGAACACATTTCTGCATGCAGTTCTTAGATTGAATAACGGAGTCCAGGCATGGTGGCTTACACCTGTAATCCCAAATCTTTGGGAGGCTGAGGCAGGCAGATCACTTAAGCTCAGGAGTTCGAGACCAGCCATAGAATCATGGCAAAACCCCATCTCTACTAAAAATTCAAAAATTAGCTGGGCATTGTGGTGCATGTTTGTAGTCCCAGCTATTCGGGAGACTGAGGCACAAGGATCACTTAATACACAGAGGCAGAGTTTGCAGCTTATGTCATTGTTTTTAATTATTTTGGATACACCTGTAATTGGAACATATGGAACTGTTCCACCTGTTGTGAAACATATGGTAATTCTATGTAGAACTTTCTGATAAACTGCCAATCTATTGGTCACAGTCAATAAATCATTTTATATTCTCACCAGCCATGCACCAGGGTTTCACTTCCCCCACATCCTGGCCAATACTTGTTCTTTTTCATTTTTGTTGTTTTGGTTTTCATATAGCCACTCTAATAGATGTAAAGTGGTAACTTGTTGTGGTTTTGATATCCATATCCCTCATGACTGGTGAGGTTGAGCATTTTTCTGTAGACTTTTTGACCCAATGTTTATACAAGTCCTCTGCCCTTTTATAAATGCTTTTGTTGTTTCGTTTTGTTGTTGAGTTTTAGAAGTTCTTTATATATCCTGCTTATTATATTTTACCTTATGTACCCAATCAGTTACATGCTTTGCAAATCTTTTCTCCCATTTGCTGGTTGTCTTTTCACTCTCTTGTTCATGCTTTTTGTATCAAATTTTAGAAGAGGTGGGTTTTTTTTTTCTATCAAAAAACACGAACAACAGAGTGTTTTTCATATCAAAAAATCAGAAAAGTTTCACATTTAAATCAAGTCCAATTTATCTGTTTTTTATTTTCTGGCCTATGCTTTTGGTGTTACAGTCAAGAAACCATCACAAAATTTAATGTTATAAGATTTTTGCTTAAGCTTTTTCCCAAGAGTTTTTAAAGTTTAACTTTTTGAAACTTTTACAGTAGGTTCGGGTATATGAGTGAAGGTTTGTTACACAGGTAAACATATGTCACAGGAGTTTGCTGTATAGATGATTTCATCACCCAGGTATTAAGCCCAGTACCCAATGGCTATCTTTTCTGCTTCTTTCCCTCCTCCCACCCTCTTACTTCAAATAGACCCCATGGTCTACTGTTTTCCTCCTCGTGTTCATACATTCTTATCATTTAGCTCCCACTTATAAGTCAGAACATGTGATATTTGGTTTTCTCTTCCTGTATTAGTTTGCTAAGGACAATAGTATCCAGTTACGTCTATGTTTCCACAAAGGACATAATCTCATTCTTTTTTATGGGTGCATAGTATTCCATAATGTATACGTAGCACATTTTGTTTATCTAATCTGTTACTGATAGTATTTAGGTTGATTCCATGTCATTGCTGTTGTGAATAGGGCTGCAGTGAACATTTGCATGCATGTGTCTTTATGGTAGAATAATTCCTATTTTTCTGGAAATATACGCAGTAATGGGATTGCAAGCAGAACTATTGAATGGTAGTTCTGCTTTTAGCTCTTTGAGGAATTGCCAAACTGCTTTCCACAGCAGTTGAACTAGTTTACACTCCCACCAACAGTGTATAAGTTCCCTTTTCTCTACAACCTCTCCAGCATTTATTGTTTGACTATAGCCATTCTGACTAGTGTGAGATGGCATTTCATTGTGGTTTTAATTTTCACTTCTCTAACTATCATTGATGCTGAGCTTTTTCTCATACACTTATTGGCCTCATGTATGTCTTCTTTCAAAAACTGTCTGTTCATGTCTTTGCCCACTTTTTAATGGGGTTGTTTTTCTTTTGTAAATTTAAGTTCCTTATAGATGATAGATATTAGACCTTTGTTAGATGGATAGTTTACAAATATTTTTTCCACCCCATAGGTTTTCTGTTTACTCTAATAGTTTTTTTTCTGCTATGCAAAATCTCTTTACTTTAATTAAATCCTACTTGTTAATTTTTGCTTTTCTTGCTATTGCTTTTGGTCTTTCTATCATGAAATCTTTGCCCGTTCCTATATCCAGGATGGTATTGCCTGGATTGTCTTTCATGGTTTTTATACATAAAGATTTTATATTTAAGTCTTCAATCAGTCTTGAGTTGATTTTTTTTTTTTGTATATGATGTAAATAAGGGGTCCAGCTTCAATCTTCCACATATTGCCAGCCAATTATTTCAGCATCACTTATTGAATAAATCATCTTTTTCTCATTGCTTGTTTTTGTCAGCCTTGTCAATTATCACATGGGCATAGATGTGCAGCCTTGTTTCTGGGCTCTCTATTCTGCTCCATTTGTCTATGTGTCTGTTTTTGTATCAGTATTATGCTGTTTTCGTTACTATAGCCCTGTAGTGTAATTTGAAGCCAGGCAACCTGATGCCTGCAGCTTTGTTCTTTTTTGCTTAGGATTGCCTTGGCTATGTGTGCTCCTTTTTGGTTTCATATATATATATATATTTGATGGAATGTCACTCTGTCATCAGGCTGGAGTGCAGTGGTGCAATCTCAGCTCACTGCAACCTCTGACTCCCTGGTTCAATGGAGTCTCCTGCCTCAGCCTCCCGAGTAGCTGGGATTACAAGCGCTTGCCACTACGCCCAGCTATTTTTTGTATTTTTAGTTGAGAAGGAGTTTCACCATGTTGGCCAGGATGGTCTCGATCTCCTGACCTCATGATCTGCACCCCTCGGCCTCCCAGAGTGCTGGGATTACAGGCGTGAGCCACTGCACCCAGCCTATAGGAATTTTAAAATAGTTTTTTCTAGCTCTGTAAAAAATTTTATTGGCAGTTTGATGGAAATAGCATTAAATCTGTCAATTGCTTTGTGAAGTATAGCCATTTTAGTCATATTGGATCTTCCTATCCATGAGCATGGGGTGGTTTTCCATTTGTTTGTGTCTTCTCTGATTTCTTTGAGCAGTGTTTTGTAATTCTCATTGTAGAGCTCTTTCACCTCCCTGGTGAGCTGCATTTCCAGGTATTTTATTATTTTTGTGGCAATTGTGAATGGTATGGCCTTTCTGATTTTGCTGTCAGTGTGGTTATCATTGGTGTAGAGAAATGTTAGTGATCTTTGCACATTGATTTAGTATCTTGAAACTTCGCTGAAGTTGTATGTTAACTAAAGAAGCTTTGTAGCTGAAACTACAGGGTTTTCTAGATGTAGAATTATGTTATCTACAAACAGAAATAGTTTGGCTTTCTCTCTTCCTATTTGGATGCTTTTTGTATTTCTTTCTCTAGCCTGATTGCTCTGGTCAGGTCTTTCAATACTATGTTGAATAGAAATGGTGAGAGAGGGCATTCTTGCCTGGTGCTGGTTTTCAAAAAAAAAACGCCCCCAACTTTTGCCCATTCAACAGATTGTTGGCTGTGGGTTTGTTATACATGGCTTTTATTATTTTCTGCATCTATTGGGATAATCGTTTGTTTTTTGTTTTTAGTTCTGTTTATGTGATGTATTACATTTATTGATTTGCACATGCTGGACCAACCTTGCATCCTAAGAAGGCAGCCTACTTGATAATGACGGATTACCTGTTTGATGCGCTGCTGGATTTGGTTTACAAATATTTTTCTGAGAACTTTTGTATTGATGTTTGCCAAGAATATTGGCCTGAAGTTTTCTTTTCTTTCTTTCTTTCTTTCTTTCTTTCTTTCTTTCTTTCTTTCTTTCTTTCTTTTCTTTCTTTCTTTCTTTTTTTTTTTTTTTGACAGAGTCTCCCTCTGTTGCCCAGGCTGGAGTGCACTGGCGCAATCTCTGCTTAATGCAAGCTCCACCTCCTGGGTTCATGCCATTCTCCTGCCTCAGCCTCCCAAGTAGCTGGGACTACAGTTGTCTGCTACCAAGCCCGGCTAATTTTGTGTTTTTGTTGTGTCTCTGCCAGGTTTTGGTGTCAAGATCATGCTGTCCTCATAGAATGAGTTGAGGAGGAGACCGTCCTCCTCAATTTTTGGGGATAGTTTCTGTAGGAATTGTACCAGCTCTTCTTTGTACATTTGGTAGAATTTGGCTGTAAATCCATAAAGTCCAGGGCTTTTATTTTTTTTATTGGCAAGCTACTTATTACCTATATAATATCAGAGCTTTTTATTGGTCCATTCAGGAAATAATTGTCTTCCTGGCTTAATCTTGGGAGATTGTGTATATCTAGTAATGTATCTATTTCTTTAAGGTTTTCTAGTTTGTGTGTATAAAGGTGTTCATGTTAGTACTGACCCCACATAAATAAAAACAACCATTAGAAACCACTAAAGTTGAACACTTATGTCTTTAATCTATTTTTATTTAATTTTTGTACTTGGAATGTGATAAAGATTCAACTTTACTGGTTTAAATGTGGACTTGTTTTCCCAGCATTTATTGTGGAACAAACTGTCCTTTTCTTTACATAATGATTAAGGCACCCTTGTCAAAAGACAATCAATAATTTATGCAAGGGTTTTTTGGATTATCTATTTTATTTATTTGATATCTACAATTGTTCTTATGCCACTAGCAAACTGTTATAGTAGCTTTGTATGTTTTCAAATTTAAAATTGTGAAATATCTAATTTTGTTCTTCTTTTCAAGATTATTCTGTACGTTCAGAGGATTTTCAAATTTCATATGAAGTTTTAAATGAATTATTTTGTTTTTGCAAAAGAAAAGTTGGAAAAATTAAACATTGGGATTACAGTACATCTGTACACTACTTTGGGTGGTAGTATTTTCATCTTAACTTCATTAAGTCTTCCGGTACAGGAATATGGAATTTGTTGCTAGTTATTTAAGTCCTTTTTAGTTTTTTTCATAAATATTCTGATCCTGTTTTTTTATTGTACAAAATATGTACCTTCTTATTAAATTTATTGCTAAGAATTGTATTATTTTAATGTTGTTGCAAACAATTGTTTTATTAATTTACTGTCAAATTGTTCATTGTTGGTATATGGAAATGCACTTTATGTTTCTGTGTTGTAAAAATAATTATTTCATCTCCAAATCTAGATTAGCAATTCATTCAGAATAAGTATGCAGTACAAATTGGTAGTCATTTAACTTTTTCCAATAAGCTAACCAATTACACTGTGTCTAAATATGTAAAAATGTTGAATTGTGTTAGATTTTCACTTACCCTCACCTGTCATTTATCAGTCAGAATTACATTACTGCACACATAGAACTTTCATTTCTGGGGCCGGGCATGGTGGCTCATGCCTATATTCCTAGCACTTTGTGAGGCCAAGGCAGGCCGACTACCTGAGATCAGGAGTTCGAGACCAGCCTGACCAACATGGTAAAACCCTGCCTCTACTAAAAATAGAAAAATAAACTGAGTGTGGCCGTGGGAGCCTGTCCTCCAGCTACTTTGGAGGCTGACACAGGATAATCACTTGAACAATCCCACAACACAAAACAACAAAAGTTAGTTTTCATGTCAAAAATCTTCAATGGATGTTTTTCATCACAGGATTGTTTAGTGCAACATTTTATGGAAAAGATGCATGCTACTGAGATGTAGTTCTCCAAAAGTATCTTAGAGTTTGTTGTTTTGTTATGTCTTACCTCACACACCTGTCCTGTTCCAGGCTATTTTTCAAAGATTTTTGTATACAAATAACCTGGAAAAAGGGTAGTAGTTTTTCTCTTCAGGTGAATGGCAGATAAATTACTCAATCAATATAATAAAGACAATTTTTCTCTGTGAGGCAAAGTTTGGACAGGTTTGCATGTAACCTACTTTAAGAAGATTAAGGTTTCTTAGTCTTGAGCCTGCTCAGCTGTGACACAAATCTTCCCCATGTGCAATGTCCATCTGAGCCTTTTGAAATCCCTCTAAAAAATGTAGTATGGACAAGGAGAACTAATACAAATATGAGGCTTTTGCCTCCAGGTAGACAGTAAATAGTAGGTATTTTTTTCATACTTCAGTGTCTCATGCCTTCTACCAGCATCCATGGAAATGGAAGGTTAATAGGTTTGTTTACAAATAGGATGAAATCTTAGATCCTTCACAATTATTTAATTTTGGAGATGACAATGGGATGCTGAGATAAACACAACTTTCTGAAAGGGGAAAATACACAAATACTTGAAGAGCTTGCAACGGATATGAAAATTTCCCCTAGGACTAACAGCAACTTCTCTCAGCCAAGTGGTTAGTTTGGTGAAACAAGGGATCAACACTCTGCTGTCTGCTAATGAGACTGATCCTTGAGAGGATTATAACAATGAGACTGAGAGCTTTGCATGTTCATTTTTCTCCTGCTGGAAAGATCAAGGACCTCTTAAAGCTAATGTTGAGGCTTGGATGAGTCCAAAACACTAGAAGTTCACCTCTGTGAGATGAATGCACACTTCACAAAGAAGTTTCTCAGAATGCATCTGTCTAGTTTTTATGTGAAGATATTTCCTTTTCCACCATAGGAGGCAAACTTCTCCAAATATACACTTGCAGATGCTACAAAAAGAGTGTTTCAAAACTACTCAATGAAAAGAAAGGTTCAACTCTGTGAGATGAGTGCACACATCACAGAGAAGTTTCTCAGAATGCTTCTGTCTAGTTTTTATGTGAATAGGTTTGTTTTACACCATAGGCCTCTAAGCGCTTCAAATATCCACTTGCAGATTCACCAAAAACAGTGTTTCAAAACTGTTCAATCAAAGGAAAGGTTTAAATCTGTGAGATGAATGCACACATCACAAAGAAGTTTCTTAAAATGCATCTGTCTAGTTTTGATGCAAAGATATTTGCTTTTCCACCAAAGGCCTAAAAGCACTCCAAATATTCACTTGCAGATTTTACATAAAGAGTGTTTCAAAACTGCTCAATCAAAAGAAAGGTTCAACTCTGTGAGATGAATGCACAAATCACAGAGAAATTTCTCAGAATGCTTCTGTCTAGTTTATATGTGAAGATATTTCCTTTTACACCATAGACCTCAAACCGCTTCAAATATCCATTTACAGATACTACAAAAAGAGTGTTTCAAAACTGCTCAATCAAAAGAAAGGTTCAACTCTGTCACATGAACGTGCACATCACAAAGAAGTTTTTCATAATTCTTCCGTCTAGTTTTTATGTGAAGATACTTCCTTTTACACCGTAGGCAGCAAAGCGCTCCAAATACCCTCCTGCAGATTCTACAAAATGAGTGTTTCAACACTACTCAATCAAAAGAAAGTTCCACTCTGTGAGATGAATGCACACATCACAAAGAAATTTCTCAGAATGCTTCTGTGTAGTTTTTATGTGATGATATTTCCTTTTCCACAATAGGCCTTAAAGCACTCCAAATATCCACTTGCAGATTCTACAAAGGAGTGTGTCAAAACTGTGCAATCAAAAGAAAGATTTAACTCTGTGAGATGAATGCACACATCACCACGAACTTTCTCAGAATGCTTCTGTCTAGTTTTTATGTGAAGATATTTCCATTTCCACTGTGGGCCACAAAGGGCTCCAAATATCCACTTGCAGATTCTACAAAAAGAGTGTTTCAAAACTGCTAAATCAAAAGAAAGATTCTACTCTGTGAGTTGAATGCACACATCAAAGAAGTTTCTCAGAGTGCTTCCATCAAGTTTTTATGTGGAGATATTTCCTTTTCCACCATAGGCCCCTAAGCGCTCCAAATATCCGCTTGCAAATTCTACAAAAAGAATGTTTGAAAACTGCTGAATCAAAAGAAAGGTTCACCACTGTAAGATGAATGTGCACCTCACAAAGAAGTTTCTCAGAAAGATTCTGTCTAGTTTTTATGTGAAGATATATCCTTTTGCACCGTAGACCTCAAAACGATCCATATATCCATTTGCAGATTCTACAAAAAGAGTGTTTCAAAACTGCTCAATCAAAAGAAAGGTTAAGTTCTGTGAGATGAATGCACACATTACAAAGAAGTTTCTCAGAATGCTGCTGTCTAGTTTTTATGTGAAGATGTTTGATTTTCCACCATACGCCTCAAAGTGCTCTAAATATCCACTTGCAGATTATACAAAAAGAGTGTTTCAAAACAGCTCAATCAAAAGAAATGTTCAACTCTGTGAGATGAATGCACACATCACAAAGAAGTTTCTCAGATTGCTTCTGTCTAGTTTTTATGTGAAGATATTTATTTTCCACCATAGGCCGCAAAGCGCTCCAAATATCCACTTGCAGATTCTACAAAAAGAGTGTTTCAAAAGGCTAAATGAAAAGAAAGGTTCAACTCTGTGATGTATATGCACACATCACAAAGAAGTTTCTCAGAATGCTTTTGTCTACTATTTATGTGAAGGTATTTCCTTTTCCAAAATATGCCCCAAAGCACTCCTATTATCCACAGGCAGATTCTACAAAAAGAGTGTCTCAAAATTGCTCAATCAAAAGAAAATTTCAACTCTGTGAGATGAATGCAAACATCACAAAGAAGTTTCTCAGAATGCTTCTGTCTAGTTTTTAAGTGAAGATATTTCCTTTTCCTCCATAGGCGTCAAAGTGCTCCAAATATCCTCTAGCAGATTCTACAAAAAGAGTGTTTCAAAACTGCTTAATCAAAAGAAATGTTCAAATCTGTGAGAGGAATGCACACATCACAAATAAGTTTCTCAGAATGTTTCCTCTAGTTTTTATGTGAAGATATTTCCTTTTCCACCATAGTCCTCAAAGCGCTCCAAATATCCACTGGCCGATTCTCCAAAAAGAGCATTTCAAAACTGCTCAATCAAAAGAAATTTTCAAATCTGTGAGATGAATGTGCACATCACAAAGAAGTTTCTCAGAATGCTTCTGTGTAGCTTTTATGTGAAGATATTCCATTTTCCACAATAGGCCTCAAGTGTCTCCAAAAGTCCACTTGCAGATTCTACAAAAAGAGAGTTTCAAAACTGCTCAGTCAAAAGAAAGGTTAAACTCTCTCTGATGAATGCACACATCACAAAGAAGTTTCTCAGAATGCTTCCATCTAGTTTTTATGTGGAGATATTTCCTTTTCCGCCATCGGCCCCTAAGCACTCCAAATATCCACTTATAGATTCTTCAAAAAGCGTGTTTCAAAACTGCTGAATCAAAAGAAAGGTTCAACTCTGTGAGTTGAATGCACATATCAGAGAAAAGTTTCTCAGAATGCTTCTATCTAGTTTATATGTGAAGGTATTTCCTTTTCCATCATACTCATCAAAGCGTTCCAAATATTCCCTTGCACATTCTACAAAAAGAGTGTATCAAATCTTCTCAGTGAAAAGAATGGTTCAATTTGGTGAGATAAATGAACACATCATGAGGAAGTTTCGCAGAATGCTTCTGTCTAGTTTTTCTGTGAAAATATTGCCTTTACTACCATAGGACACAATCGCTCCAAATATCTACTTTCAGATTCTACAAAAAGGGTGTTTCAATACTGCTCGATGAAAGGAAAGATTCAACCTGGTGAGATGAACGCACACATCACAAAGAAGTTTCTCAGAAGGCTTCTGTCTAGTTTTTATGTGAAGATATTTCCTTTTACACCATAGGCCACAATTCGCTCCAAATATCCACTTGCAGATTCATCAAAAAGACTGTTTCAAAACCCTCAATCAAAAGAAAGTTTCAACACTGTGAGATGAATGCACACATCACAAAGAAGTTTCTCAGAGTGCTTCTGTCTAGTTTTTATGTGAAGATATTTCCTTTTCCACCAGAGACCACAAATCGCTTCAAATACCCACTTGCATATACAACAAAAAGAGTGTTTAAAAACTGCTCAATCAAAAGAAAGGTTCAACTCTGTGAGATGAAGGCACTTATCACAGAGAAGTTTCTCAGAATGCTTCTGTCTAGTTTATATGTGAAGATATTTCCTTTTCCACGATAGACCTCAAACCGCTTCAAATATCCATTTACAGATACTACAAAAAGAGTGTTTCAAAACTGTTCAATCAAAAGAAAGGTTCAAATCTGTGAGTTGAATGCACAGATCGCCAAAAATTTCTCAGAATGCTTCTGTCTAGTTTTTATGTGAAGATAGTTCCTTTTCCACAATAGGCCCCAAAACGCTCCAAATATCCCCTTGCAGATACTACAAAAAGATGCTTTAAAAACTGCTCAATCTTCTTAATCCAGTCTATACACACCATGGAACACTATGAAGCCATAAAAAGTGATGAGTTCATAACCTTTTTAGGGACATGGATGAAATTGGAAGTCATCATTCTCAGTAAACTATCGCAAGAACAAAAAACCAAACACCGCATATTCTCACTCATAGGTGGGAATTGAACAATGAGATCACATGGACACAGGAAGGGGAACATCACACTCTGGGGACTGTTGTGGGGTGGGAGGAGGGGGGAGGGATAGCATTGGGATATATACCTAATGCTAGATGACAAGTTAGTGGGTGCAGCACACCAGCATGGCACATGTATACATATGTAACTAACCTGCACAATGTGCACATGTACCCTAAAACTTAAAGTATAATAATAATAATAACTGCTCAATCAAAAGAAATGTTCAACTTTTTGAGATGAACACACACATCACAAAGAAGTTTCTCAGCATGCTTCTATTTTTTATGTGAAGATATTTCCTTTTCCAAAATAGGCCAGAAAGGTCTGCAAATATCCACTTGCAGATTTTACAAAAAGAGAGAATCAAAACTTCTCAATCAAAAGATAGGTTCAGCTGTGTGAGTCTAATGCAGACATCACAAAAAAGTTTCTGAGAATGCTTCTGTGTAGTTTTTATGTGAAGATATTTCCTTTTCCACCATAGGCCTCAAAGCGCTCCAAATATCCACTTGCAGATTCTACAAAAGAGTGTGTCCAAACTGGTCAATCAAAAGAAAGGATCAACTCTCTGAGATGAATGCACACATCACAAAGAAGTTTCTCAGAATGCTTCTGTCTAGTTTTTATGTGAAGATATTTTCTTTTCCACAACAGGCCACAAAGCACTCTAAATATCCACTTGCAGATTCTACAAAAAGACGGTTTCAAAACTGCTCAATCAAAAGAAAGGTTCAACTCTGTGAGATGAATGTACACATTACAAAGACGTTTCTCAGAATGCTTCTTCATAGTTTTTATGTGAGGATATTTCCTTTTCCACCATAGGTCTAAATGTGCTCCAAATATCCACTTGCAGATTCTACAAAAAGAGTGATTAAAAACTGCTCAATCAAAGGATAGATTCAACTCGGTGAGATGAATGCACACATCCCAAATAAGTTTCTCAGAATGCTTCTGTGTAGTTTCTGTGTGAAGATATTTCCTTTTCCACCAAAGATCTCAAAGCGCTAAAAATATCCCCTTGGAGATTCTACAAAAAGAATGTTTCCAAACTGCTCAATAAAAAGAAAGGTTCAACTCTGTGTGATGAATGCACACGTCACAAAGTAGTTTCTCACAATGCTTCTTTGTAGTTTTTATGTGAAGATATTTCCTTTTCCACAATAGGCCTCAAAGTGCTCGAAACATTGACTTGCACATTCTACAAAACGAGTGTTTCAAAACTGCTCAATCAAAAGAAAGGTTCAGCTTTGTGAGATGAATGCACACAACACAAAGAAGTTTCTCAGAATTATTTTGTGTGGTTTTTATGTGAAGATATTTCCTTTTTCACATTTGGCCACACAACGCACCAAATATCCACTTACAGAATCTGCAAAGACAGAGTTTCAAAACTGCTCTATAAAAAGATAGGCTCAACCCGGTGACTTGAATGCACACATCTCAAAGAGGTGTCTCAGAATGCTTCTGCGTACTTTTTTGTAAAGATATTTCCTTTTACACCATTCACCACAAAGTGCTCCAAACATCCACCTGCAGATGTTACAAAAAGAGTGTTTCCAAACTGATCAATGAAAAGAAAGGTTCAACTCTATGAGACGAATTCACACATCATGAAGAAGTTTCTCACAATACTTTTGTGTAGTTTTTATGTGAAGATATTTCCTTTTCCAAAATAGGCCTTAAAGGACTCCAAATATCCCCTTGCAGATTCTACAAAAAGGGCGTTTCAAAAGTGCTCAATCAAAAGAGAGGTTCAACTCTTTGAGGGGAATGCACGCATAGCAAAGAAGTTTCTCAGAATGCTTCTGTGTAGTTTTTATGTGAAGATATTTCCTTTTCCACAGTAGGCCTCAAAGGGCTACAAATATACACTTGCAGATTCTACAAAAAGAGTGTTTCAAAACTGTTCAATCAAAAGAAAGGTTCAAGTCTGTGAGTTGAATGCACACATCATAAAGAAGTTTCTCAGAATGCTTATGTGCAGTTTTTATGTGAAGATATTTCCTTTTCCACAATTTGCCTCAAAGCACTCCAAATATCCACCTGCAGATTCTGTAAAGATTGTTTCCAAACTGCTCAAAGAAAAGAAAGGTTCAACTTCGTGAGATTAATGGACTCATCACAAAGTAGTTTATCAGAATGCTTCTGTGTCATTTTTATGTGAAGATATTTTCTTTTCCACAGTAGGCCTCAAAGTGTTTCAAATATCCACTTGCTTATTCTATTAAAAGAGAGTTTCCAAACTGTTCAGTCTAAAGAAAGGTTCAACTCTGCGAGATGAATGTGCACATCACAAAGAAGTTTCTCAGAGTTCTTCTGTGTAGTTTTTATGTGAAGGTATTTCCTTTTACACAGTAGGCCACAAAGGGCTCCAAATATTCACCTGCAGATTCTCCAAAAAGAGAGTTTCTAAAATCCTCTACCAATAGATAGGTACAACTCTGTGAGTTGAATGCACACATCACAAAGAAGTTTCTCAGAATGCTTCTGTGTAGTTTTTATGTGAAGATATTTCAATTTCCACAATAGTCCTCAAAGCGCTCTAAATATCCACTTTTAGATTCTACTAAAGAGTGTTTTCAAACGGCTCAATCAAAAGAATGGTAAAACACTGTGAGATGAATGCAAAAATCACAAAGAAGTTTCTCAGAATGCTTCTGTATAGTTTTCATATGAAGATATTTCCTTTTCCACAATGGGCCTCAAAGCGCTCTGTGAGATGAATGCACACGTCACAAGACATTTCCCAGAATGATTCTGTGTACTTTTCCTGTGAAGATACTTCCTTTTCCACAATAGTCCTCAAAGCTTTCCAAATATCCACTTGCAGATTCTACAAAAAGTGTGTTTCAAAAGTGCTCAATCAAAAGAAATGTTCTACTCTGTGAGATGAATTCAACATCACCAAGAAGTTTCTCAGAATGCTTCCGTGTAGTTTTTATGTGAAGATATTTCCTTTTACACCATAGACCTCAAATCGCTCCAACTATCCACTTGCAGATTCTACAAAAAGAGTGTTTCCAAACTGCTCATTCAAAAGAAAACTTCAACTCTGTGGGATGAGTAAACACCTCGCAAAGAAGTTTCACAGAATGATTCTGTGTAGTTTTTATGTGAAGATATTTCCTTTTCCACAATAGGCCTCAAAGCACCCCTAATATCCACTTGCAGATTCTACAAAAAGAGTGTTTCAAAACTGCTCAATCAAAAAAAGTTTCAATTCTTTGAGTTGAAAGCACACATCACAAAGAACTTTCTAAGAATGCTTCTGTATAGTTTTTATGTGAAGATATTTCATTTTCCACAATAGGCCTCAAAGAGCTCCAAATGTCCACTTCTAGTCACTACAAAAAGAGAGTTTCCAAAGTGCTAATGAAAAGAAGGGTTCAATTCTGTGAGATGAATGCATACATCACAAAGAAGTTTCTCAGAATGCTTCTGATTACTTTTTATGTGAAGATATTTCCTTTTCCACAATAGACCTCAAAGGGCTCCAAATATCCACTTTCAGATTGTACTAGAAGAGTGTTTCAAAAATGCTCAATCAAAAGAAAGTTTCAACTCTGTGAGGTGAATGCACACATCACAAGAAATTTCTCAGAATGCTTCTGTGTAATTTTTATGTGAACATACTTCCCTTTCCGCAATAGTCAACAAAGCCCTGCAAATATACACTTGCACATTCTAGAAAAAGAGTGTTTCAAAACTGCTCAATCAAAAGAATGTTTCAACCCTGTGAGGTGAATGCACACATCACAAAGAAGTTTCTCAGAATGCTTCCGAGTAGTTTTTATGTGAAGATATTTCCTTTTCAACCGTAGGCCTAAAAGCACTCCAACTATTCACTTGCAGATTCTACAAAAAGAGTGTTTCCAAACTGCTCAATCAAAAGAAAACTTCAACTCCATGAGGTGAGTAAACACAATGAAAATAAGTTTCACAGAATGATTCTCCATAGTTTTTATGTGAAGTTATTTCCTTTTCCACCACAAGCCGCAAATGTCTTTAAATATCCACTTCCAGGTTCTACAAAAAGAGATATTCAAAACTGCTTAATCAAAAGGTAGGTTCGACTCTGTGAGTTGAATGCATACATCACAAAGTAGTTTCTCAGAACGCTTCTGTGTAGTTTTTATGTGAAGATATTTCCTTTTACACCATAGGCCTCAAAGCGCTCCAAATATCCACCTGGAGATTCCAAGAAAAGAGAAATTCAAAACTGCTTATCAAAAGATAGGTTCAACTCCGAGAGTTGAATGCACACATCACAAATAAGTTTCTAAGAATGCTTCTGTGTATTTTTTATGTGCAGAAATTACCTTTTCCTCAGTACACCTTACAGAGCTGCAAATATCTACCTGCAGATCGCACTAAAAGAGTATTTCAAAACTGCACAATCAAAAGAAAGGTTCACCTCTGTGAAATGAATTCACACATCACAAAAAGTATCTCAGACTGTTCCTGTGTAGTTTTTATGTGAAGATACTTCCTTTTACACAATAGCTGTCAAACGCTCCAAATATCCACTAGAAGATTCTACAAAAAGAGTATTTCAAAACTGCTTAAACAAAAGAATGCTTCAACTCTGTCAGATGAATGCACACATCACAAAGAAGTTTCTCTGAATGCTTCTGTGTAGTTTTTATGTGAAGATATTTCCTTTTCCACTGTAGGCTGCAAAAGGCTCCAAATATCCACATGGAGATTCTACAAAAAGAATGTTTCCAAACTGGTCAATCAAAAGAAAGATACAACTCTGTGAGTTGAATGCACACATCACAAAGAAGTTTCTCAGAATTCTACTGTGTAGTTTCTATGTGTAGATATTTTCTTTTCCACAAAAGGCCTCAAAGCGTTCCAATTATCCACTTGCAGATTCTACAAAAAGATTGTTACAAAACTGCTCAATGAAAAGAACGGTTCAACTCAGTGGGAGGAATGCACACATCACAAAGAAGTTTCTCAGAATGTTTATGTGTAATTTTTATGTGAAGATAGTTCCTTTTCTGCAATAGGCCTCAAAGCGCTCCAAATATCTACTTGCAGATTCTACAAAAAGTGTTTTTCAAAACTGCTCAATCAAAGCAAAAGTTCAACTCTGAGATGAATGCCCACATCACAAAGAAGTTTCTCAGAATGCTTCTGTGTAGTTTTCATGTGAAGATAATTCGTTTTCCACAATAGGCCTCAAAGCACCCCAAATATCCATTGCATATTCTACTAAAAGCATGTTATAAAACTGCTGAATCAAAAGAAAGGTTCAACTCTGTGAGATGAATGCACAAATCAAAATAAAGTATCTCAGAATGATTCTGTGTAGTTTTTGATGAAGATACTTCCTTTTCCACAAAAGACCTTAAAGGGCTCCTAATATCCACTTGCAGATTCTACAAAAAGAGAGATTCAAAACTGCTCAATCAAAAGATAGATTCAACTGTGTGAGTTGAATGCACACATCACAAAGAAGTTTCTCAGAATGCTTCTGTGCAGTTTTTATGTGAAGATACATGCTTTTCCACAGTAGGCCTCGAAGCGCACCAAATATCCACTTGTAGATTCTACAAAAAGAGTGTTTCCAAACTGCTCAATCAAAAGCAAGTTTCAACTCTGTGAGATGAATGCACATAACACAAAGTAGTTTCTCAGAATGCTTCTGTGTATTTTTTGTGTGAAGATATTTCCTTTTCCACAATAGGCCTCAAAGCCCCCCAAATATCCACTTGAAGATTCTACAAAAAGAGGGTTTTAAAACTGCTCAATCAAAAGAAAGTTTCAACTCTGTGAGATGTATGCACACATCACAAAAAAGTTTCTCAGAATCCTTCTGTGTAGTTTTTCTGTGAAGATATTTCCTTTTCCACAATAGCCCTCAAAGCGCTCCAAATATCCACTTGAAGATTCTGCAAAAAGAGTATTTCAAAACTGCTTAATCAAAAGAATGCTTCAACTCCGTGTGATGAATGCACATATCACAAAGAAGTTTCTCAGAATGCTACTGTGTAGTTTTTACGTGAAGATATTTCCTTTTCCACCATAGGCTGCTACGTGGTCCAAATATCCACCTGCAGATTTTACAAAAGGAGAGTTTCAAAACTTCTCAATGAAAAGATAGGTTCAACTATCTGAGTTGAATGCACACATCACAAAGAAGTTTCCCATAATGCTTCTGTGTAGTTTTTATGTAAAGATATTTCCTTTCTCAAATAGGCCTCAAAGTCCTGTAAATATGCACTTCCGGATTCTACAAAAGAGTGTTTCAAAGCTGCTCAATTGAAGGAAAATTTCAACTCTTTGTGATGTATGCACTCATCACAAAGTAGTTTCTGTGAATGCTTCTGTGTAGTTTTTATGTGAAGATATTTCCTTTTTCACAACTCCAAATATCCACTTCCAGATTCTACAAAAAGAGAGTTTCAAAACTGCTCAATCAAGAGATAGGTTCAACCCTGTGAGTTGAATGCACACATCAGAAAAAAGTTTCTGAAAATGCTTCTGTGTAGTTTTTATGTGAAGGTATTTCCTTTTCCAACATAGGCCTCAAAGTGATCAAATTATCCACCTGAAGATTCTACAAAAAGTGTGTTTCCAAACTGTTCAATGAAAAGAAAGGTTCAACCCTGTGAGATGAATGCACACATCACAAGGAAGTTTCTCAGAATCGTTCTGTGTAGTTTTTATGTGAAGATGTTTCCCTTTACACGATAGGCCTCAAAGGGCTCCAAATATCCAGTTGAAGATTATACAAAAAGAGTGTGTCCAAACTGCTGAATCAAAAGAAAAGTTCAGCTCTGTGAGATAAAAGTACACATCACAAAGAAGTTTCTCAGAATGCTTCTGTGTAGTTTTTATGTGAAGATGTTTCCTTTTCCACCATAGGCCGCCAAGGTCTCCAAGTATCCACTTTCAGATTCTACAAAAAGAGAGATTCAAAAGTGCTCAATCAAAAGATAGATTCAAAACTGTGAGTTAAATGCACACATAACAATGAAGTTTCTCAGAATACTTCTGTGTAGTTTTTATGTGAAGATATTTCCTTTTACACAATACGCCTCAAAGCACTAAAAATATCCACTTGCAGATTCTACAAAAATAGTGTTTTAAAACTGCTCAATCAAAAGAAAGTTTCAACTCTGTGAGGTGAATGCCCACATCACAAAGAAGTTTCTTAGATTGTTTATGTGTAGTTTTTATGTGAAGATATTTACTTTTCCACTGTCGGCCTCAAAGTGCTCCAAATATCAACTTATAGACTCGCAAAAACAGTGTTTCAAAACTGCTTAATGAAAAACTAGGTTCATCTCTGTGAGATGAAGGCACACATCACAAAGAAGTTTCTCAGAATGCTTCTGTGTAGTTTTTATGGGAAGATAATTCCTGTTCCAAAATAGGCCTCAAAGCCCTCCAGATATCCACTTGCAGACTCTACAAAAAGTGTGTTTCATAACTGTTCAGTCAAAGAAATTTTCAACTCTGTGTGGTGAATGGACTCATCACAAAGTAGTTTCTCAGAATGCTTCTGTGTAGTTTTTTTGGGAAGATATTTCCTTTATCACAAGAGGCCACAAAGGGCTCCTAATATCCACTTGCAGATTCTACAAAAAGAGAGATTCAAAACTGCTCAATCAAAAGATAGGTTCAGCTCTGTGTGATTAATGCACTCATCACAAAGAAGTTTCTCAGAATGCTTCTGTGCAGTTTTTATGTGAAGATACATGCTTTTCCACAATAGTCCTCAAAGTGCTCCAAATTTCCACTTGCAGATTGTATAAAAAGATTGTTTCAAAAGTGCTCAATCATAAGATAGGTTCAACTCTGTAAGATGAATGCACACATCAAAAAGAAGTTTCTCAGAATGCTTCTATGTAGTTTTTACTTGAAGATATTTCCTTTTCCACCTTATGCTGTAAAGGGCTCCAAATATCCACTTGTAGATTCTTCAAAAAGAGAGATTCAAAACTGCTCAATCAAAAGATAGATTTAACTACGTGAGTTGAATGCACATATCTTAAAGATGTGTCTCAGAATGCTTCTGTCAGAATGCTTCTGTGCAGTTTTTATTGGAAGATATTTCCTTTTCCTCCATAGGCTGCGAAGGGCTACATATATCCACTTGCAGATTCTAGAAACAGAGAGATTCAAAACTGCTCAATCAAAGGATAGGTTCAACTCCATAAGATGAATGCACACATCACAAAGAACTTTCTCAGAATGCTTTTGCATAGTTTTTATGTGAAGATATTTCCTTTTCCACAATAGGCATCAAAGCGCTCCATATATCCACTTGCAGATTCTACAAAAAGAGTTTTTCAAAACTGCACTGTCCAAAGAAAAGTTCAACTCTGTGAGATGAATGCCCACATCACTAAGAAGTTTCTCAGAAGGCTTCTGTGAATTTTTTATGTGAAGATATTTGCTTTTCCAAAGTAGACCCCAAAGTGCTCCAAATATGCACTTGCAGATTCTTCAACAAGACTGTTTCAAAACTGCTCAATCAAAAGAAGTGTTCAACTCTGTTTGATGAATGCACTCATCACAAAGATGTTTCTCAGAATGCTTCTGTGAAGTTTTTATGTGAAGATATTTCCTTTTCCACCATAGGCCACAAAGGGCTCAAAATATCCACTTGCAGATTTTACAGAAAGAGAGATTCAAAACTGCTCAATCAGAAGGTATGTTGAAATCTGTGAGACGAATGCACTCATCACAAAGAAGTTTCTCAGTATGCTTCTGTGTAGTTTTTATGTGAAGATATATCCTTTTCCACAAAAAGCCTCAAAACGCTCCAAATACCCACTTGCAGATTCTACAAAGAGAGTGTTTCAAAACAGCTAAATCATAAGGTAGGTTCAATTCTGTGAGATGAATGCACACATCCCAAAGAAGTTTCTCAGAATGCTTCTGTGTAGTTTTTATGTTAAGATATTTCCTTTTCCACAATAGGCTTGAAAGCGCTCCAATTATCCACTTTCAGATTCTACAAAAAGAATGTTTCAGAACTGATCAATCATAAGATAGGTTCAACTCTGCGAGATGAATGCACACATCACAAAGATATTTATCAGAAGGATTCTGTGTAGTTTTTATCCGAAGATACTTGCTTTTCCACAGATGGCCTCAAAGCACTCCAAATATCCACTTGCAGATTCAATAAAAACAGTGTTTCAAAACTGCTGAATCAAAAGAAAGGTTCAACTCTGTGAGATGAATGCACGCATCACAAAGAAGTTTCTCAGAATGCTTCTGTGTAGTTTTTAATTGAAGGTATTTCCTTTTCCTCCATGGGCCGCAAAGGGCTCCAAATATCCACTTGCAGCTTCTACAAAAAGAGAGATTCAAAACTGCTCAATCAAAAGATAAGTTCACCTCTGTGAGTCTAATGCACACATCACAAAGTAGTTTCTCAGAATGCTTCTGTGTAGTTTTTATGTGTAGATATTTCGTTTTCCACAATAGACCTCAAAGCTTTCCAAATATCCACTTGCAGATTCTACAAAAAGAGGGTTGCAAAACTGCTCATTCAACGGAAATTTCAACTCTTTTAGATGAATGCACACATCACAAAGAAATTACTCAGAATGCTTCTGTGTAGTTTTTATGTGAAGATATTTGCTTTTCCATAGTAGGCCTCAAAGTGCTCCAATATCCACTTGTAGGTTTTACGAAAACAGTGTTTCAAAACTGTCCAATCAAAGGAAAGTATCAACTCTGTGAGATGAATGCACACATCATGAAGAAGTTTCTCAGAATACTTCCATATAATTTTAATGTGAAGACATTTGCCTTTCCACCGGAGGCCTCAAAGCACTCCAAATATCCACTTGCAGATTCTACAAAGCGAATGTTTCAAATCTGCTCAATCATAAGATAGGTTCAACTCTGTGATATGAAGGCACACATCACGAAGAAGTTTCTCAGTATGCGTCTCTGCAGTGTTTACTAGAAGATATTTCCTTATCGTCCATAGGCCACAAAGGGCTCCAAATATCCACTTGCAGATTCTAGAAAAACAGAGATTCAAAGCTGCTCAATCAAAAGATAGGTTCAAGTCTGCGAGTTGAATGCACACATCACAAAGAAGTTTCTCAGAATGCTTCTGTGTAGTTTTTATGTGAAGATATTTCATTTTCCACAATAGGCCTCAAAGCACTCCAAATATCCACTTGCAGATTCTACAAAAAGAGTTTTCAAAACTTCTCAATCAAAACGAAAGTTCAACTCTGTGAGATGAATGCACACTTCACACAGAAGTTTCTCAAAATGCTTCTGCGTAGTTTCTATTTGGAGATATTTCCTTTTCCAATGTAGGCCACAAAGGGCTCCAAATATCCACTTGCAGATTCTACAAAAAAAGTGTTTCAAAAGTGCACAATCAAAAGAAAGGTGCAACTCTGTGAGATGAATGCACACATCACAAAGAAGTTTCACAGAATTCTTCTGTGTAGTTTTTATGTGAAGATATTTCCTTTTCCAAAACAGGCCTGAAAGCCCTCCAATTATCAACTTTCAGATTCTACAAAGAGAGTGTTTCAAAACTGCTCAATCATAAGATAGGTTCAAATCTATGAGATGAATGCACACATCACACAGAAGTTTCTTAGAATTCTTCTGTGTAGTATTTATTTGAAGATATTTCCTTTTCCTCTGTAGGCCGCAAAGAGCTTCAAATATCCACTTGCAGATTATACAAAAAGAGAAATTCAAAACTGCTCAATCAAAAGATAGGTTCAACTCAGTGATTTGAATGCACACATCACAAACTAGTTTCTTTGAATGCTTCTGTGTAGTTTTTATGTAAAGATATGTCCTTTTCCATAATAGGCCTAAAAGGGCTCCAAATATCCAGTTGCAGACTCTACAAAAAGAGAGATTCAAAACTGCTCAATCAAAACAAACTTTCAACTCTGTGGGATGAATGCACACATCACAAAGAAGTTTCTCAGAATGCGTCTATGTAGTTTTTACATGAAGATATTTGCTTTTCCACAGTTGACCTCAAAGCGGCCTATACAGATTCTATACAAACAGTGTTTCAAAACTGCTCAATCAAAAGGAAGGTTCAACTCTGCTCAATGAATACCCACATCACAAAGTAGTTTCTCAGAATGCTTCTAGTAGTTTTTATGTGAAGATATTTCCTTTTACACAATAAGTCACAACGCGCTCAAAATATCCACCTGAAGTTTCTGCAAAGAGAGTGTTTCAAAACTGCTCAATAATAAGATAGATTCATCTGTGTGAGATGAATGCACACATCACAAATAAGTTTCTCAGAATGCTTCTGTGTAGTTTTTATTTGAAGATATTTCCTTTACCTCCATAGGCCACAAAGGGCTCCAAATATCCACTTCCAGATTCTACAAGAAGAGAGATTAAAAACTTCACAATCAAAAGATAGGTTCAACTCTGTGAGTTGAATGCACACATCACAAAGTAGTTTCTCAGGAAGCTTCTGTGTATTTTTTTTGTTAAGATATTTCCTTTTCAACAATAGGACTCAAAACACTGCAAATATCCACTTTCATATCATACAAAAAGAGTGTTTCAAAACTGCTCAATCAAAATAAAGTTTCAACTCTGTGAGATGAATGCAGACATCACAAAGAAGTATCTCAGAATGCTTCTGTGTAGTTTTTATGTAAAGATATTTGCTTTTCCACAGTAGGACTCAAAGCGCTCCAAATTTCCATTGCAGATACTACAAAAACAGGGTTTCAAAAGTGCTCAATCAAAAGAAAGTTTCAACTCTCTGAGATGAATGCACACATCACAAAGAAGTTTCTGTGAATGCTTCTGTGTAATTTCTATGTGAAGACATTTCTTTGCCACAATAGGCCTCCAAGCTCTCCAAGTATTCACTTGCAGATTTTACAAAGAGAGTTTTTCAAAACTGCTCAATCATAAGATAGGTTCAACTCTGTGAGATGAATGCATACAGCACAACGAAGTTTCTCAGAATGATTCTGTGTAGTTTTTATGTGAACATATTTGATTTTCCACAGTAGGCCTCAAAGCGCTCCAAATATCCCCTTGCAGATTCTACAAAAACAGTGTTTTAGAACTGCTGAAATATACGTTAGGTTCAACTCTGTGAGATGAATGCGCGCATCACAAAGAAGTTTCTCAGAATGCTTCTGTGTAGTTTTCATGTGAAGATATTTCCTTTTCCTCCATAGGATGCAAAGGGCTCCAAATATCCAATTGCTGATTCTACAAAAAGAGAGATTCAAAACTGCTCAATCAAAAGATTAGTTCAACAATGTGAGTTGAATGCACACATCACAAAGATGTTTCTCAGAATGCTTCTGTGTAGTTTTTATGTGAAGATGTTTCCTTTTCCACTATAGGCCTCAAAGCGCTCAAGTATCCACGTGTAGATTCTACAAAAAGAGTGTTTCAAAACTGTTCAATCAAAAGAAAGGTTCAATTCTGTGAGATGAATGCATACATCACAAAGAATTTTCTCAGAATGATTCTGCGTAGTTTATATTTGAAGATATTTCCTTTTCCAACGTACGCCTTAAAGAGCTCCAAATATCCACTTGAAGATTCTACAAAAAAGAGATTCAAAACTGCTCAATAAAAAGATATGTTCAACTCTATGAGTTGAATGCACTCATCACAAAGAAGTTTATCAGAATACTTCTGAGTAGTTGTTATGTGAAGATATTTCCTTTTCTACCATATGCCGCAAAGGGCTCGAAATATCCACCTGCACATTCTACAAAAAGTGAGATTCAAAACTGCTCAATCAGAAGACGGGTTCAACTCTGTGTGTTGAATGCACACATCACAAAGAAGTTTCTCAGAATGCTTCTGTGTAGTTTTTATGTGAAGATATTTCCTTTACCATAATAGGCCTCAAAGCGCTCCAAATATCTACTTGCAATTTCTAAAAAAAGAGTGTTTAAAAACTGCTCAATCAAAAGAAAGGTTCAAATCTCTGAGATGAATGTACACGTCACACAGAAGTTTCTGAGAATGCTTCTGTGTAGTTTTTATTGGAAGATATTTCCTTTTCCTCCATATGTCAGAAAGGGCTCCAAATGTCCACTTGCAGATTCTACAAAAAGACAGATTCAAAACTGCTCAATGAAAAGAGAGGTTCAACACTCTGAGTTGAATACACACATCAATAATAAGTTTCTCAGAATGCTTCTGTATAGTATTTATGTGAAGATATTTCCTTTTCCACAATAAGCCTCAAAGCACTCCAAATATCCACTTGCAGATACTAGAAAGAGAGTGTTTCAAAACTGCTCAATCGTAAGATAGGTTCAACCCTGTGAGATGAATGCACACATCACAAAGAAGTTTTTCAGAATGCTTCTGTGTAGTTTTTATGTGAAGATACTTGCTTTTCCGCAGTGAGCCTCAAAACCCTGCAAATACTGACTTGCAGATTCTACAAGAACAGTGTTTGAAAACTGCTGAATCAAAAGAAAGTTGGAATTTCGTGTGATGAATGCATACATCACAAAGAAGTTTCTCAGAATGCTTCTGTGTAGTTTTTATGTGAAGCTATTTCTTTGCCATAGTAGGCCTCAAAGCACTCCAAGTATCCACTTGCAGATTCTACAAAGAGAGTGTTTCAAAACTGCTTAATCATAAGATAGGTTCAACTCTGTGAGACGAAAACAAACATCACAAAGAAGTTTCTCAGAATACCTCTGTGTAGTTTTTATTTGAAGGTATTTCCTTTTCCTTCGTAGGTGGCATAGGGCTCCAATTATCCACTTGCAGATTCTACAAAAAAAGAGATGCAAAACTGCTTAATCAAAAGATAGGTTCAACTCTGTGAGTTGAATGCAAACATCACAAAGATGTGTCTCAGAATGCTTCTCTGTAGTTTTTATGTGAACATATTTCCTTTTCCACAATAGGCCTCAAAGTGCTCCAAATATCCACTTGCAGATACTACAAAAAGAGTGTTTCAAAACTGCTCAATGAAAAGAAAGGTTCAACTCTGTGAGATGAATGCACACATCACAAAGAAATTTCTCAATATGCTTCTGTGCAGTTTTTATGTGAACATATATGCTTTTCCACCGTAGGCCTCCAAGGGCTCCATATATCCACTTGCAGATTCTACAAAAACAGTGTTTCAAAACTGCTCAATCAAAATAAATGTTGAACACTGTGAGATTAATCCACACATCACAAAGAAGTTTCTCAGAATGTTTCTGTGTAGTTTTTATGTGAAGATATTTCCTTTCCCACAGTAGACCTCAAAGCACTCCAAATATCCACTTGCAGATTCTAGAAAGAGAGTGTTTCAACACTGCTCAATCATAAGATAGGTTCAACCCTGTGAGCTGAATGCACGCATCACAAAGAAGTGTCTCAGAATTCTTCTGACTAGTTTTTATATGAAGATATTTCCTTTTCCACCATAGGCCTTAAAGCGCTACAAATTTACACTTGCATATCCTACAAAAAGTGTATTTCCTAACTGGTCCATCAAAAGAATGGTTCAAATCTGGGAGATGAATGCACACATAACAAAGAAGTCTTTCAGATTGCTTCTGTCTAGATTTTATGTGATGATATTTCCTTTTCTACCATAGGCCACAAAGCATTCCAAATGTCCACTTGCAGATACTACAAAAAGAGTGTTTCCAAACTGCTTCATCAAAAGAAATGTTCAACTCTGTGAGATGAACACAATCATCACAAAGAAGTTTGTCAGAATTCTTCTGTCTAGTTTTTATATGAAGATACTTCCTTTTCCACCTTAGGCCTAAAGGTGCTCACAATGTCCACTTGCAGATTCTACAAAAAGAGTATTTCAAAACTGTTCCACCAAAAGAAAGATTCAACTCTGAGAGATGAATGCACACATCACAAAGAAGTTTCTCAGAATGTTTCTGCGTAGTTTTTATGTGAAGATATTTCCTTTTGCACTACAGGCCTCAAAGCACTCTAAATGTCCACTTGCAGATTCTACAAAAGAGAGTTTCAAAACTACTCAATGAAAATAAAGGTTTAACTCTTTGAGATGAATGCACACATCACAAAGAATTTTCTGAGATTGCTTTTGTCTAGATTTTAAGTGAAGATACTTCCTTTTCTACAATAGGCCGCAAAGCGATCCAAATGTCCATTTGTAGATTCTACAAAAAGAGTGTTTCCAAACTGCTGATTCAAATGAAAGGTTCAACTTTGTGAGAAAGGCATAACACATCAAAAAAAGTTTCTTAGAATTATTCTGTCTAGTTTTTATGTGAAGATATGTCCTTTTCCACCAAAGGCCTCAAAAAGCTCCAAATGTCCACTTGCAGATTCTACAAAAAGAGAGTTTCAAAACTGCACAATCAAAAGAAAGTGTTAACTCTGAGATGAACGCACACATCACAAAGAAGTTTCTCAGATTGCTTCTGTCTGGATTTTATGTGAAGGTATTTCCTTTTCTACAATAGGCTGCAAAGCGCTCCAAATATCCACTTGCAGATTCTACAAAAAAAGTGTTTCCAAACTGCTCAATCAAAAGAAAATTTCAATTCTGTGAGATGAACACACACAACACAAAGAAGTTTCTCAGAATTCCTCTGTCTAGTTTTTATGTGAAGATATTTCCTTTTCCACCATAGGACTCAAAACTCTGCAAATGTCCACATGCAGATTCTACAAAAAGAATGTTTCCAACCTGCTCAATCGAAAGAAAGTTCAACTCTGTGAGATGAACGCACACATCACAGAGTAATTTGTCAGAATTCTTCTGTGTAGTTTCTATTTGAAGATATTACCTTTTCCACCATAGGCCTCAAAGTGCTCCAAATATCCACTTTCAGATTCTGCAAAAAGAGAGTTTCAGAACTGCTCTATCAAAAGAAAGGTTCAACTCTGTGAGATGGATGCACACATCCCAAAGAAATTTCTCAGATTGCTTTTGTCTAGATTTCATGTGAAGATATTTCCTTTTATACCATAGGCCAGAAAGCACTCCAAATGTCCATTTGCAGATTCTACAAAAAGACAGTTTCCAAAGTGTTCAATCAAAAGAAAAGTTCAACTCTGTAAGATGAACGCACACATCACAAAGAAGTTTCTCAGATCGCTTCTGTATAGATTTTATGTGAAGATATTTCCTTTTTTACCATAGGCCACAAGGTGCTACAAATGTCCACTTGCAGATACTACAAAAAGAGCGTTTAAAAATTGCTCAATCAAAAGAAAGGTTCAACTCTGTGAGAATAACGCACACATCACAAAGAAGTTTCTCATAATTCTTCTGTCTAGTTTTTATGTGAAGATATTTCCTTTTCCACAATAGGCGTTAAAGAGCTCCAAATGTCCACTTGCAGATTCTACAAAAAGAGACTTTAAAAACTGCTCAACCAAAACAAAGGTTAAACTCTGTGAATGAATGCACACAACACAAAGAAGTTTCTCAGATTGCTTCTGTCTAGATTTTATGTGAAGATATTTTCTTTTCTACCATAAGTTGCAAATCTCTCCAAATTTCTACTTGTAGATTCTACAAAAAGAGTGTGTCCAAACTGCTCAATAAAAAGGAAGGTTCAACTCTGTGAGATGAATGCACACATCACAAAGAAGTTTCTCAGAATTCTTCTGTCTAGTTTTTATGTGAGGATATTTCCTTTTCCAGCATCAGCCACAAAGCGCTCCAAATGTCCACTTGCAGATTCTACAAAAAGAGAGTTTCAATACTGCTCAAGCAACAGAAAGTTTTAACTCTGTAAGATGAACGCACACATCACGAAGAAGTTTCTCAGATTGCTTTTGTCTAGATTTTATGTGAAGATATTACCTTTTCTACCATAGACCGCAAAGTGCTCCAAATGTCCATTTGCAGATTCTACAAAAACATTGATTCCAAACTGCTCTATCAAAAGAACGGTTCAAATCTGTGAGATGAACGCACACATCAACAAGCAGTTTATCAGAATTCTTCTCTCTAGTTTTTATGTGAAGATATTTCCTTTTCCACCATAGGCCTCAAAGCGCTCCAAATGTCCACTTGCAGATTCTACAAAAAGAGAGTTTCCAAACTGTTCAATCAAAAGAAAGTTTCAACTCTTTGAGATGAACGCACACATCACAAAGAAGTTTCTCGGAATTCTTCTGCCTAGTTTCTATGTGAAGACATTTCCTTTACCACCATATTCCTCAAAGAGCTCCAAATGTCCACTTGTAGATTTTAAAAAAAGAGTTTCATAAATGCTCAATCAAAAGAAAGTTTTAACTCTGTGAGATGAATGCTGACATCACAAAGAAGTTTCTCAGATTGCTTCTGTCTAGATTTTATGTTAAGATATTTCCTTTTCTACTGAAGACTGCAAAGCGCACCTAATGCCCACTTGCAGATTCTGCAAAAAGAGTGTTTCCAAACTGCTCAATGAAAAGAAAGGTTCAGCTCTGTGAGAAGAACGTACACATCACAATGTAGATTCTCAGAATTCTTTTGTCTAGTTTTTATATGAACATATCTCGGTTTCTACCATAGGCTTCAAAGTGTTCCAAATGTCCACTTGCAGAATCTACAAAAAGAGAGATTCAAAACTGCTTAAGCAAACATATGATTAATTTTGTGAGATGCATGCACACATCACAAAGAAGTTTCTCAGATTGCTTATGTCTACATTTAAGGTGAAGATATTTTCTTTTCTACCAGAGGAAGCAAAGAACTTCAAATGTCCACTTGCAGATTCTACAAAAAGAGTGTTTCAAAACTGCTCAATGAAAAGAAAGGTTCAATCCTGTGAGATGAATGCACACATCACAAAGAAGTTTCTCAGAATTCTTCTGTCTGGTTTTTATGTGAAGATATTTCCTTTTCCACCATAGGCCTCAAAACGCTCCAAATGTCCACTTGAAGATTCTACAAAAAGAGATTTCAAAACTGCTCAAACAAAACTTTAACTCTGTGAGATGAATGCACACATCACAAAGTAGTTTCTCAGATTGTTTCTGTCTAGATTTTATGTGAAGATATTTCCTTTTCTACCATAGTCTGCAAAGCACTCCAAATATCCACTTCCAGATTCTACAAAAAGAGTGTTTCCAAACTGCTGAGTCAAAATAAAGGTTCAACTCTGTGGGATGTAAGCACAAATCACGAAGAAGTTTCTCAGAATTATTCTGCCTCGTTTTTGTGTGAAGATATTTCCTTTTCCACCATAGGCCTCAAAGTGCTCCAAATGTCCACTTGCAGATTGTACAAAAAGAGAGTTTCAAAACTGCTCAATCAAAAGACAGCTTTAACTCTGTGAGATGAATGCACACATCACAAAGAAGTTTCTCAGATTGCTTCTCCTAGATTTTATGTGAAGATATTTCCTTTTCTACTATAGGCCATAAAGCATTCCGAAAGTCCACTTGCGGATTCTACAAAAAGAGTGTTTCCAAACTACTCAATCAAAAGAACGTTTCAACTCTGTGAGATGAAGGCACACATCACAAAGAAGTTTCTCGGAATTCTTCTGTCTAATTTTTATGTGAAGACATTTCATTCTCCACCATAGGCCTCATGGCTGTCGAAATGTCCACTTGCAGATTCTACAAAAAGAGTATTTCAAAACTGGTCCATCAAAAGAAAGTTTCAACTCTGTGAGATGAATGCACCCATCACGAAGAAGTTTCTCAGAATGTTTCCATCTAGGTTTATGTGAAGATATTTCCTTTTCCACCACAGGTCTCAAAGCGCTCCAAATGTCCACATGAAGATTCTACAAAAAGAGAGTTTCAAAACTGCTCAGTCAAACAAAGGGTTAACTCTGTGAGATGAATGCACACATCACAAAGAAGTTTCTCAGATTGCTTCTGTCTAGATTTTATGTGAAGGTATTTCCTTTTCTACCATAGGCCACCAAGCGCTCCAAATGCTCACCTGCAGATTCTACAAAAACAGTGTTTCCAAACTGCTCAATCCAAAGAAAGTTTCAACTCTGTGAGATGAACATACACATCACAAAGAAGTTTCTCAGAATGCTTCTGTATAGTTTTTTATGTGAAGATATTTCCTTTTCTACCATAGGCCACAAAGCGCTCCAAATGTCCACTTGCAGATTCTACAAAAAGAGTGTTTCCAAACTGCTCAATGAAAAGAAAGGTTCAATCCTGTGAGATTAACACACACATCACAAAGAAGTTTCTTGGAATTCTACTGTCTAGTTTTTCTGTTAAGATATTTCCTTTTCCACCATAGGCCTCAAATCACTCCAAATGTCCACTTGCAGATTCTAGAAAAATAGACTTTCAAAACTTCTCAATGAAAAGAAAAGTTTATCTCTGTGGGATGAATGCACACATCACAAAGTAGTTTTTCAGATTGCCTCTGTCTAGATTTTATGTGAAGATATTTCCTTTTCCACCATAGACCTCAAAGCGTTCCAAATGTCCTCTTGCAGGTGGTACAAAAATAGAGTTTCAAAACTGCTTCATCAAAACAACGGTTTAATTCTGTCAGATGAATGTACACATCACAAAGAAGTTTCTCAGATTGCTTCTGTCTAGATTTTATGTGAAGATATTTCATTTTCTGTCATAGGCCGTAAAGCGCTCCAAATGTCCAGTTGCAGATTCTACAAAAAGAGTCTTTCCAAACTGCTCACTCAAAAGAAAGTTTCAACTCTGTGAGATGAACGCATACATCACAAAGAAGTTTCTCAGAATTATTCTGTCTAGTTTTTATGGGAAGATATTTCCATTTCAACCATTGGCCTCAATGCGCTCCAAATGTCCACTTGCAGGTTCTACAAAAAGAGAGTTTCAAAACTGCTAAATCAAAAGAAATATTGAAGTCTGTGAGATGAATGCGCATATCACAAAGAAATTTCTCAGATTACTTCTGTCTAGATTTTATGTGAATATATTCCCTTTTTTACCAAAGGCCGCAAAGCGCTCGAAATGACAATTTGCAGATTCTACAAAAAGTGTGTTTGCAAACTGCTAAATCAAAAGGAATGTTCAACTCTGTGAGACGAACACACACATCACAAAGTTGTTTCTCAGAATATTTCTGCCTAGTTTATTTTTATTTATTTTTATTTTTTATTATTATACTTTAAGTTTTAGGGTACATGTGCACATCGTTCAGGTTAGTTACATATATATACATGTGCCATGCTGGTGCGCTGCACCCACTAACTCGTCATCTAGTATTAGGTGTATCTCCCAATGCTATCCCTCCCCCCTCCCCCCACCCCACAACAGTCCCCAGAGTGTGATGTTCCCCTTCCTGTGTCCATGTGTTCTCATTGTTCAATTCCCACTTATGAGTGAGAATATGCGGTGTTTGGTTTTTTGTTCTTGTGATAGTTTACTGAGAATGATGATTTTCAATTTCATCCATGTCCCTACAAAGGACATGAACTCATCATTTTTTATGGCTGCATAGTATTCCATGGTGTATACGTGCCACATTTTCTTAATCCAGTCTATCATTGTTGGACATTTGGCTTGGTTCCAAGTCTTTGCTATTGTGAATAATGCCGCAATAAACATACGTGTGCATGTGTCTTTATAGCAGCATGATTTGTAGTCCTTTGGGCATATACCCAGTAAGGGGATGGCTGGGTCAAATGGTATTTCCAGTTCTAGATCCCTGAGGAATTGCCACACTGACTTCCACAATGGTTGAACTAGTTTACAGTCCCACCAACAGTGTAAAAGTGTTCCTATTTCTCCACATCCTCTCCAGCACCTGTTGTTTCCTGATTTTTTAATGATTGCCATTGTAACTGGTGTGGGATGATATCTCATTGTGGTTTTGATTTGCATTTCTCTGATGGCCAGTGATGATGAGCATTTTTTCATGTGTCTTTTGGCGCATAAATGTCTTCTTTTGAGAAGTGTCTGTTCATGTCCTTCGCCCACTTTTTGATGGGGTTGTTTGTTGTTTTCTTGTAAATTTGTTATTTGAATATATTTCCTTTTCCACCATAGACCTCAAAGCGTTACAAACGTCCACTTGCAGATCGTACAAAGATAGTTTCAAAACTACTTCATCAAAAGAAAGGTTTAACTCTGTCAGATGAATTCTCACATCAGAAAGAATTTTCTCAGATTGCTTCTGTCTAGATTTTATGTGAAGATATTTCCTTTTCTGCCACAGACCACAAAGTGCTCCAAATGTCCACTTGCAGATTCAACAAAAAGAGTGTTTCCAAATGACCCAAACAAAAGAAAGTTTCAACTCTGTGAGAGGAACGCACACATCACAAAGTAGTTTCTCAGAATTTGTCTTTCTAGTTTTTATGAGAAGATAATTCCTTTTTCACCATAGGTCTCAAAGCCTTCCAAATGTACAAATGCAGATTCGACAAAAAGAGAGTTTGAAAACTGCTCAATCAAAAGAAAGGGTTAACTCTGTGAGATGAATACACAAATCACAAAGAAGTTTCACAGATTGCTTCTGTCTAGATTTTATGTGAAGATATTTCCTTTTCTACCATAGACCGTAAAGTGCTCCAAATGTTCACCTGCAGATTCTACAAAAAGAGTGTTTCCAAAATGCTCAATCCAAAGAAAGGTTCAACTCTGTGAGATGAACATACACATCACACAGAAGTTTCCCAGAATGCTTCTATATAGTTTTTATGTGAAGATATTTCCTTTTCTACCATAGGCCACAAAGCGCTCCAAATATCCACTTGCAGATTCTACAAAAAGAGTGTTTCCAAACTGCTCAATGAAAAGAAAGATTCAATCCTGTGAGATGAACTCACATATCACAAAGAATTATCTCAGAATTCTTCTGTCTACCTTTTATGTGAAGGTATTTCCTTTTCCACCATAGGCCTCAAATCACTCAAAATGTCCACTTGCAGATATTACAAAAATAGATTTTCAAAACTGCTCCATCAAAAGAAAAGTTTAAATCTGTGGGATGAATGCACACATCACTAAGATATTTCTCAGATTTCTTCTGTCTAGATTTCATGTGAAGATATTTCCGTTTCTACTGAAGGCCGCAAAACTCTGTCTGGTTTTTATGTGGAGATATTTTATTTTCCATCATAGGACTCAAAGTGCTCCAAATGTCCACTTTCAGATTCTACAAAAAGAGTGTTTCTAAATTGCTCAATGAAAAGAAAGCTTTAACTCTGAGATGAATGACACATCACAATGAAGTTTCTCAGATTGCTACTGTGTAGATTTTATGTTAAGATATTTCCTTTTCTCACAGAGACCGCAAAGCACTCCAAATGTCCACTTGCAGGTTCTACAAAAAGAGAGTTTCAAAACTGCTCAATTCAAAGAAAGGTTCAACTCTGTGAGATGAATGCACACATCACAAAGAAGTTTCTCAGAATTCTTCTGTCTAGTTTTTATGTGAAGATATTCCCTTCTAAAATAGGCCCAAAAGTGCTCCAAATGTCTGCTTGCAGGTTCTACATAAAGAGTGTTTCCAAACTGCTCCATCAAAAGAAATGTTCAACTCCGTGAGATTAACGCACGCATCACAAAGAAGTTTCTCAAAATTCTTCTGACTAGTTTTCATGTGAAGATTTTTGCTTTTCCACCACAGGCCTCAAAGTGCTCCAAATGTCCACTTGCAGATGCTACAAAAAGAGTGTTTCCAAACTGCTCAATCAAAAGAAAGTTTCAACCCTGTGAGATGATCACACACATCAGAAAGAAGTTTCTCAGGTTGCTTCTGTCTAGATTTTATGTGAAGATATTTCCTTTAGTACAACAGGCCCCAAAGTGCTCCAAGTGTCCACTTGCAGATTCTAGAAAAAGAGTGTTTCCAAACTGCTGAATCAAAAGAAAGGTTCAACTCTGTGAGATCAACGCACACATCACAAAGAAATTTCTCAGAATTCTTCTGTATAGTTTTTATGTGAAGATATTTCCTTTTCCACAATAGGCATCAAAGAGTTCCAAATGTCCACTTGCAGATTCTACAACAAGAGTATTTCAAAACTGTTCAATCAAAAGAAAGGCTTAAGTCTGTGAGATGAATGCACACAACACTAAGAAGCTTCTCAGATTACTTCTGTCTAGATTTTTTGTGAAAATTTTTCCCTTTCTACCACAGGCCGCAAAACGCTCCAAATGTCCACTTTCAGATTCTACAAAAACAGAGTTTCAAAACTGCCCAATCAAAAGAAAGCTTTAAATCTGTGAGGTGAAAACACATATCAAAAAGTATTTTCTCATATAGCTTCTGTCTAGATTTTATGTGAAGATATTTCCTTTTCTGCCTTAGGCCACAAAGCTCTCCAAAGGTCTACTTGTAGATTCAACAAAAAGAGGGTTTCCAAACTGCTCAACCAAAGGAAAGTTTCAAGTATGTGAGATGAACGCACACACCACAAAGAAGTTTCTCAGAATTCTTCTGTCTAGTTTTTATGTGAAGGTATTTTCTTTTCCACCATAGGCCTCAAAGTGCTCTAAATGTCCACTTGCAGATCCTACAAAAAGAAAGTTTCAAAACTGCTCCATCAAAAGAAAAGTTTAACCCTGTGAGATGAATGCACACATCACAAGGAAGTTTCTCAGATTGCTACTGTGTAGATTTTATGTTAAGATATTTCCTTTTCTAACAGAGGCCACAAAGAGCTCCAAATGTTCACTTGCAGATTCTACAAAAAGAGAGTGTCAAAACTGCTCAATTCAAGGAAAGGTTCAACTCTGTGAGATGAATGCACACATCACAAAGAAGTTTCTCAGAATTCTTCTGTCTAGTTTTTATATGAAGATATTCCCCTTTCTAAAGTAGGCCCAAAAGCGCTCCAAATGTCTGCTTGCAGATTCTACAAAAAGAGTGTTTCCAAACTGCTCCATCAAAAGAAATGTTCAACTCTGTGAGATTAACCCACGCATCACAAAGAAGTTTCTCAAAATTCTTCTGTCTAGTTTTTATGTGAAGATTTTTGCTTTTCCACCACAGGCCTCAAAGAGCTCCAAATGTTCACTTGTAGAATTTACAAAAAGAGAGTTTCATAAATGCTCAATCAAAAGAAAGGTTTAACTCTGTGAGATGAATGCACACATCACAAAGAAGTTTCTCACATTGCTTCTGTGTAGATGTTAGGTGAAGATACTTCCTTTTCTGCCATAGGCCGCAAAGCGCTCAAAATGTCTACTTGCAGATTCTACAAAAGAGTGTTTCCAAACTGCTCAATCAAAAGAAAGTTTCAACTCAGTGGGATGAAAGCACATATCACTAAGAAGTTTCTCAGATTGCTTCTGTTTAGGTTTTTTATGAAGTTATTTCCTTTTCTACCATTGGCTGCAAAGCGCTCCAAATGTCCACTTGCAGATTCTACAAATGATTTTTTCCAAACTGCCGAATCAAAAGAAATGTTCATCTCTGTGAGATGAACACACACATCACAAAGAAGTTTGTCAGAATTCTTCTGTAAAGTTTTTATGTGAAGATATTTCCTTTTCCACCATAGGCCCCAAAGCACCCCAAATCTCCACTTGCAGTTTCTGCAAAAAGAGAGTTTCAAAACTACTAAATCAAAAGAAAAGTTTAACTCTCTGAGATGAAAGCACACATCAAAAATAAGTTTCTCAGATTGCTTCTCTCTAGATTTTATGTGAAGATATTTCCTTTTCTACCATAAGATGCAAAGCGTTCCAATTGTCCATTGCAGATTCTACAAAAAGAATGTTTCCAAACTGCTCAATCAAAAGAAAGTTTCAAATCTGTGAGATGAACACATACATCACAAAGAAGTTTCTCAGAATTTTTCTGTCTATTATTTATGTGAAAATATTAACTTTTCCACCATAGGCCACAAAGCGCTCCAAATGTCCACTTGCAGATTCTACAAAAAGAGGGTTTCTCAATCAAGAGAAAGTTTTAACTCTGTGAGATGAATGCACACATCACAAAGAAGTATCTCAGATTGCTTCTGTCTAGATTTTATGTGAAGATATTTCCTTTTCTACCACAAGATGCAAAGTGCTACAAATGTACGCTTGCAGATGCTACAAAAAGTGAGTTTCGAAACTGCTCAATCAAATAAAGTTTTAACTCTGTAAGATGAATGTACACATCACAAAGAAGTTCCTCATCAATGTCTTCTTTTGAGAAGTGTCTGTTCATGTCCTTCACCCACTTTTTGATAGGGTTGTTTGTTTTTTTCTTGTAAATTTGTTTGAGTTCATTGTAGATTCTGGATATTAGCCCTTTGTCAGATGAATAGGTTGCGAAAATTTTCTCCCATTTTGTGGGTTGCCTGTTCACTCTGATGGTAGTTTCTTTTGCTGTGCAGAAGCTCCTTAGTTTAATTAGATCCCATTTGTCAATTTTGGCTTTTGTTGCCATTGCTTTTGTTGTTTCAGACATGAAGTCCTTGCCCATGCCTATGTCCTGAATGGTAGTGCCTGGGTTTTCTTCTAGGGTTTTTATGGTTTGAGGTCTAACGTTTAAGTCTTTAATCCATCTTGAATTGATTTTTGTATAAGGTGTAAGGAAGTGATCCAGTTTCACCTTTCTTCATATGGCTAGCCAGTTTCCCAGCACCATTTATTAAATAGGGAATCCTTTCCCCATTGCCTGTTTTTCTCAGGTTTGTCATAGATCAGATAGTTGTAGATATACGGCGTTACTTCTGAGGGCTCTGTTCTGTTCCATTGATCTATATCTCTGTTTTGGTACCAGTACCATGCTGTTTTGGTTACTGTAGCCTTGTAGTATAGTTTGAAGTCAGGTAGTATGATGCTTCCAGCTTTGTTCTTTTGGCTTAGGATTGACTTGGCGATGCGGGCACTTTTTTGGTTCCATATGAACTTTAAAGTAGTTTTTTCCAATTCTGTGAAGAAAATCATTGGTAGCTTGATGGGGATGGCATTGAATCCATAAATTACCTTGGGCTCTATGGCCATTTTCATGATATTGATTCTTCCTACCCATGAGGATGGAATGTTCTTCCATTTCCTTGTATCCTTTTTTATTTCATTGAGCAGTGGTTTGTAGTTCTTGAAGAGGTCCTTCATGTTCCTTGTAAGGTGGATTCCTAGGTATTTTATTCTCTTTGAAGCAATTGTGAATGGGAGTTCACTCATAATTTGGCTCTCTGTTTGTCTGTTATTGGTGTATAAGAATGTTTGTGATGTTTGTACATTGATTTTGTATCCTGAGACTTTGCTGAAATTGTTCATCAGCTTAAGGAGATTTTGGGCTGAGACAATGGAGTTTTCTAGATATACAATCATGTCATCTGCAAACAGGGACAATTTGACTTCCTCTTTTCCTAATAGAATACCCTTTATTTCCTTTTCCTGCCTAATTGCCCTGGCCAGAAGTTCCAACACTATGTTGAATAGGAGTGTTGAGAGAGGGCATCCCTCTCTTGTGCCAGTTTTCAAAGGGAATGCTTCCAGTGTTTGCCCATTCAGTATGATATTGGCTGTGGGTTTGTCATAGACAGCTCTTACTGTTTTGAGATACGTCCCATCAATACGTAATTTATTGAGAGTTTTTAGCATGAAGTGTTGTTGAATTTTGTCAAAGGCCTTTTCTGTGTCTATTGAGATAATCATGTGGTTTTTGTCTTTGGTTCTGTTTAAATGCTGGATTACATTTATTGATTTGCTTATATTGAACCAGCCTTGCATCTCAGGGATGAAGCTCACTTGATCATGGTGGATCAGCTTTTTGATGTGCTGCTGGATTCGATTTGCCAGTATTTTATTGAGGATTTTTGCATCAATGTTCATCAAGGATACTGGTCTAAAATTCTCTTTTTTTGTTGTGTCTCTGCCTGGCTTTGGTATCAGGATGATGCTGGCCTCATAAAATGAGTTACGGTGGATTCCTTCTTTTTCTATTGATTGGAATAATTTCAGAAGGAATGGTACCAGTTCCTCCTTGTACCTCTGGTAGAATTCGGCTGTGAATCCATCTGTTCCTGGATTCTTTTTGGTTGGTAAGCTATTGATTATTGCCACAATTTCAGCTCCTGTTATTGGTCTATTCAGAGGTTCAACTTCTTCCTGGTTTAGTCTTCGGAGAGTGTATGTGTCCAGGAATTTATCCATTTTTTCTAGATTTTCTAGTTTTTTGCATAGAGGTGTTTGTAGTAATCTCTGATGGTAGTTTGTATTTCTGTTGGATCGGTGGTGATATCCCCTTTATCATTTTTTATTGCGTCTATTTGATTCTTCTCTCTTTTTTTCTTTATAAGTCTTGCTAGTGGTCTATCAATTTTGTTGATCCTTTCAAAAAACCAGCTCCTGGATTCATTAATTTTTTGAAGGGTTTTTTGTGTCTCTATTTCCTTCAGTTCTGCTCTGATTTTAGTTATTTCTTGCCTTCTACTAGCTTTTGAATGTGTTTGCTCTTGCTTTTCTAGTTCTTTTAATTGTGATGTTAGGGTGTCAATTTTGGATCTTTCCTGCTTTCTGTTGTGGGAATTTAGTAGCATAAATTTCCCTCACACACTGCTTTGAATGTGTCCCAGAGATTCTGGTATGTTGTTTCTTCGTTCTCATTGTTTCAAAGAACATCTTTATTTCTGCCTTCATTTTGTTATGTATCCAGTAGTCATTCAGGAGCAGGTTGTTCAGTTTCCATGTAGTTGAGCGGTTTTGAGTGAGTTTCTTAATCCTGAGTTCTAGTTTGATTGCACTGTGGTCTGAGAGACAGTTTGTTATAATTTATGTTCTTTTACATTTGCTGCAGAGAGCTTTACTTCCAACTATGTGGTCAATTTTGGAATAGGTGTGGTGTGGTGCTGAAAAAAATGTACATTCTGTTGATTTGGGGTGGAGAGTTCTGTAGATGTCTATTAGGTCCACTTGGTGCAGAGCTGAGTTCAATTCCTGGATATCCTAAAAAAACATGAAAAAATGCTCATCATCACTGGCCATCAGAGAAATGCAAATCAAAACCACAATGAGATATTATCTCACACCAGTTAGAATGACAATCATTAAAAAGTCAGGAAACAACAGGTGCTGGAGAGGATGTGGAGAAATAGGAACACTTTTACACTGTTGGTGGGACTGTAAACTAGTTCAACCCTTGTGAAAGTCAGTGTGGATATTCCTCAGGTATCTAGAACAAGAAATACCACTTGACCCAGCCATCCCATTACTGGGTATATACCCAAAGGAGTATAAATCATGCTGCTATAAAGACACATGCACATGTATGTTTATTGTGGCACTATTCACAATAGCAAAGACTTGGAACCAAGCCAAATGTCCAACAATGATAGACTGGATTAAGAAAATGTGGCACATATACACCATGGAATACTATGCAGCCATAAAAAATGATGAGTTCATGTCCTTTGTAGGGACATGGATGAAATTGGAAATCATCATTCTCAGTAAACTATCGCAAAAACAAAAAACCAAACAAAGCATATTCTCACTCATAAGTGGGAATTGAACAATGAGAACACATGGAGACAGGAAGGGGAACGTCACACTCTGGGGTCTGTTGTGGGTTGTGGGGAGGCAAGAGGGATAGCAGTGGGAAATATACCTAATGCTAGATGACGAGTTAGTGGGTGCAGCTCACCAGCATGGCACATGTATACCTATGTAAGTAACCTGCACATTGTGCACATGTGTCCTAAAACTTAAAGTATAATAATAATAATAATAAAACAAGTTTTTCAGATTGCTTCTGTCTAGACTTTATGTGAAGATATATCCTTTTCTACCATAGCCACAAAGCCCTCCAAATGTCCACTTGCTGATTCTACAAAAAGAGATTCCAAACTTCTCAATCAAAAGAAAGATTCAACTCTGTGACATGAACGCACACATCACAGAGAAGTTTCTCAGAATTCTTTTGTCTAGTTGTTATGTGAAGATATTTCCTTTTCCACCATAGGCCTCAAATCGCTCCAAATGTCCACTAGCAGATCCTACAAAAAGGGTGTTTAAAAGCTGCTGAATCAAAAGAAAGTTTTAACTCTGTGAGATGAAAACGCACATCACAAAGTTTGTCCGAATGCTTCTGTATAGTTTTTATATGAAGATATTTCCTTTTCCAATAAAGGCCTTAAAGTGCCCCAAATGTACACTTGCAGATTCTACAAAAAGAGTGTTTCAAAACTGCTGAATGAAAAGTGAGGTTCATCTCTCTGATGAATGCACACATCACAAAGAATTTTGTCAGAATGCTTCTGTCTAGTTTTTATGTGAAGGTATTTCCTTTTCCACCATAAGCCTCAAAGCGCTCAAAATATCCACTTGCAGATTCTACAAAAAGAGTGATTCAAAGCTGCTCAATCGAAAGAAAGTTTAAACTCTGTGAGATGATTGCACACATCACAAATAAGTTTGCCAGAATGCTTCTGTCTAGTTTTTTTGTGAAGATATTTCCTTTTACACTATAGGCCTCAAAGCGCTCCAAATGTCCACTTGCAGATTCTACAAAAAGTGTTTCAAAACTCCTCAATGAAAAGTAAGTGTCAACTCTGTGAGATGAATGCACACATCACAGACAAGTTTGTCAGAATGCTTCTATCTAGTTTTTATGTGAAGATATATCCTTTTCCACCATAGGACACAAAGTGCTCCAAATGTCCACTGCAGATTCAAAAAAAAGAGTGTTTCAAAGCTGCCGAATCAAAAGAAATGTTCAACTCGGTGAGGTGAATGTACACATCACAAAGAAGTTTGTCAGAATGCTTCTGCCTGGTTTTTATGTGAAGATATTTCCGTTTCCACCATAGGCCTCAAAGCGCCCCAAATGTCCACTTCCAGATTCTACAAAAAAAAAGTGTTTCAAATCTGCTCAATCAAAAGTAAGGGTCACCTCTCTGAGATGAATAAAGAAATCACAAAGAAGTTTGTCAAAATTCTTGTGTCTAGTTTTTATGTGAAGATATTTCTTTTTTCACCATAGGCTTCAAAGCGCTTCCAAAGTCCACTCGCAGATTCTACAAAAAGGGTGCTTAAAGCTGCTCAATCAAAGGAAAGTTTCAACTCTGTGAGATGAATGCACACGTCAAAAAGAAGTTTGCCAGATTTCTTCTGTCTAGTTTTTATGTGAAGATATTTCCTTTTCCACCATAGTCCTCAAAGCGCTCCAAATGTCCACTTGCAGATTCTACAAAAACATTGTTTCAAAACTGCACAATCAAAAGAAAGTTTCAACTCCGTGAGATGAATGCACACATCACAAAGAAGTGTGTCAGAATGCTTCTGTCTAGTTATTACGTAAAGATACTTCCTTTTCCACCAGACACCAAAAAGCGCTCCAAATGTCCACTTGCAGATTCTACAAAAAGAGTGTTTCAAAGCTGCTCAATCAAAAGAAAGTTCAACTCTGTGAGATGAATGCACACATCAAAAAGAAGTTTGTCAGAATGCTTCTGTCTTGTTTTTATGTGAAGATATTACCCTTTCCACCATGGGCCTCAAGGCGCTCCAAATGTCCACATCCAGATTCTACAAAAAGAGCTTTTGAAAGCTGGTCAATCAAAAGAAAGTTTCAACTCTGTGAGATGAATGCACACATCACAAAGAAGTTTGTCACAATGCTTCTGTCTAGTTTTTATGTGAAGATTTTTCCTTTTCCACCATTGGTCTCACAGCACTCCAAATGTCCACTTGCAGATTCTACAATAACAGTGTTTCAAAGCTGCTCAATGAAAAGTAAGGTTCAACTTTGTGAGATGAATGCACACATGATGAAGACATTTGTCAAGATGTTTCTGTCTAGTTCTCATGTGAAGATATTTCCTTTTCCACCATAGGCTTCAAATCACTCCAAACGTCCACTTGCAAATAGTACAAAAAGCGTCTTTCAAAACTCCTCAATCAAAAGTAAGATTCAATTCTGTGAGATGAATGCACACATCACAAAGAAGTTTGGTAGAATGCTTCTGTCTAGTTTTTATGTGAAGATATTTCCTTTTCCACCATAGGCCTCAAAGTGTTCCAAATGACCACTTGCAGATCCTACAAAAAGAGTGTTTCAAAGCTGCTCAATCTAAAGAAAAGTTCAACTCTGTGGGATGAATGCACACATCACAAAGAAATTTCTCACCATGCTTGTGTCTAGTTATTAAAGGAAGATATTTCGTTATCCACCATAGGAATCAAGTTGCTCCAAATGTCTACTTGCAGATTCTACAAAAAGAGTGTTTCAAAACTGCTCAATGAAAAGTAAGTTTCAACCCTGTGACATGAATGCACACATCAGAAATAAGCTTGTCGGAATGCTTCTGAGTAGTTTTTATGTGAAGATATTTCCTTTTCCACCATATGCCTCAAAGCGCCCCAAATGACCACATGAAGATTCTGCAAAAAGGGTTTCAAAACTGCTCAACGTAAAGTAAGGTTCAACTCTGTGAGATGAATGCACAAATCACAAAGAAGTTTGTCAGAATTCTTCTGTCTAGTTTTTACGTTATTTCCTTTTCCACCATAGGCCTCAACGTGCGCAAAATGTCCACTCTCAGATTCTACAAAAATGGTGTTTCAAAGTTGCTCAATCAAAAGAAATGTTCAACTCTGTGAGATGAATGTACCCGTCACAAAGGAGTTTGACAGAATGCTTCTGCATAGTTTTTATGTGAAGGTATTCCTTTTCCACCATTGGCCTCAAAGCACTCCACATGTCCGCTTGCAGTTTCTACAAAAAGAGTGTTTCAAAACTGCTCAATCAAAAGAAAGGTCCAATTCTGTGAGATGAATGCACACATCACAAAATTTTTTCAGAATGCTTCTGTCTAGTTTTTATGTGAAGATATTTCATTTTCCACCATAGGCCTCAAAGCGCTCCAAATGTCTACGTGCAGATCCTACAAAAAGAGTGTTTCAAATTGGTCATTCAAAACTAATTTTCAACTCCATAAGATGAATGCACCCATTATGACGAAGTTTGTCAGAATCTTTCTCTATAGTTTTTATGTGAAGATATTTCCTTTTCCGCCATAGGCCTCAAAGCACTCCAAAAGTTTACTTGCAGATTCTACAAAAACAGTGTTTTTAAGCTGCTCAAACAAAAGAAAAGTTCAACTCCGTGAGATGAATGCACACATCACAAAGAAGTTTTTCATTATGCTTATGTCTAGTTTTTATGTGAAGATATTTCCTTTTCCATCATAGTCCTCAAAGTGCTCCAAATGTCCAGTTGCAGATTTTACAAAAAGAGTGTTTCAAAACTGCTCAATCAAAAGAAAATTTCAACTCTGTGACATGAATGCACACATCACAAAGAAATCTCTCAGAATGCTTCTGTCTAATTTTTAATTGAAGATATTTCTTTTTCCACCATAGGCCTCAAAGCACTCAAATGTCCACTTGCTGATTCTACAAAAAGAGGGTTTCCAAACTACTCAATCAAAAGAAAGGTTCAACTCTGTGAGATAAATGCACACATCACAAAGTAATTTGTCAGAATGCTTCTGTCTAGTTTTTATGTGAAGATATTTCCTTCTCCACCATAGGCCTCAAAGCACTCCAAATATCCAATTCCAGATAGTACAAAAAGGGTGTTTCAAAACTGCTCAATCAAAAGCAATGTTCAACTCTCTGAGATGAATGCACACATCACAAAGAAGTACCTCAGAAAGCTTCTGTCTAGTTTTAATGTGAAGATATTTCCTTTTCCAACATAGGCCTCTTAGGGGCCAAATGTCCACGTGGAAATTCTACAAAGAGTGTTTCAAAACTGCTCAATCAAAAGAAAGATTCAACTCTGTGAGATGAATGATCACATCACAAAGAATTTTCTAAGAATGATCCTGTCTAGATTTTTTGTGAAGTTTTTACCTTTTCGACAATAGGCCTCAAAGCGCTCCAAGTGTACACTTGCAGATTCTACAAAAAGAGTTTTTCAAAACTGTTCAATGCAAAGGAAGTTTCAACTCCATGAGATGAATGCACACATCACAAAGGAGTTTGTCAGAATGTTTCAGAATAGTTTTTATGTGAAGATATTTCCTTTTGCACCATCAGTTGCAAAGCCCTCCAAATGTCCATTTGCAGATTCTACAGAGAGTGTTTCAAAACTGGTCAATCAAGGCCGGGCGCGGTGGCTCACGTCTGTAATCCCAGCACTTTGGGAGGCCGAGGCGGGTGGATCATGAGGTCAGGAGATCGAGACCATCCTGGCTAAAACGGTGAAACCCCGTCTCTACTAAAAATACAAAAAATTAGCCGGGCGCGGTGGCGGGTGCCTGTAGTCCCAGCTACTCAGGAGGCTGAGGCAGGAGAATGGCGTGAACCCGGGAAGCGGAGCTTGCGGTGAGCCGAGATTGCGCCACTGCAGTCCGCAGTCCGACCTGGGCGACAGAGCGAGACTCCGTCTCAAAAAAAAAAAAAAAAAAAAAAAAAAAAAAAAAAAAAAAAAAAAAACTGGTCAATCAAAAGAATGGTTCAACTCTGAGATGAATGCACACATCACAAAGAAGTTTTTCAGAATGTTTCTGTCTAGTTCCTAAGTGAAGATACTTTCTTTTCGACCATAGGCCTCATAGCGCTCCAAATATCCACTTGCAGATTCTACAGAGAGTTACCAAATTACTCAATCAAAAGAAATGTTCAACTCTGTGAGATGAGTGCACACATCTCAAAGAAATTTGTTAGAATGCTTCTGTCTAGTTTTTATGTGAAGATATTTCCTTATCCACCATAGGCCTCAAAGCACTCCAAAAGTCCACTTGCAGATAGCACAAAAATTGTGTTTCAGAACTGGACAGAAACACTCTGACAAACTTCTTTGTGATGTGTGCCTTCATCTCACGGAGTTGAACATTTCTGTTGATTGAGCAGTTTTAAAACACTATTTTTGTAGATTCTATAAGTGTACAATTGGAGCGCTTTGAGGACTATGGTGGAAAAGGATATATCTTCACATAAAAATTAGACAGAAGCATTCTGACAAACTGCCTTGTGATGTGTGCATTCATCTCACAGAGTTGAACATTTCTTTTGATTGAACAGCTTTGAAACACTCTTTTTGTACAATCTGCAAGTGGACATTTGGAGCACTTTGAGACCCATGGTGGAGAAGGAAATATCTTCACATAAAAACGAGAAAAAAGAATTCTGAGAAACTCGTTTGTGTTGAGTGTGTTCATCTCACACAGTTGAGCCTTTCTTTTTATTGAGCAGTTTGGAAACACTCTTTTGGTAGAACCTGCAAGTGGACATTTGGAACAATTTCAGGCATATGGTGAAAAAGGAAATATATTCACATAAAAACTAGACAGAAGCGTTCTGACAAACTTCTTTGTGATATGTGCATTCATCTCACCGTGGTGAAACTTTGTTTTGATTGAGCAGCTTTGAAACACTCTTTTTGTAGTATATGCAAGTGGACATTTGGAGCGCTTTGAGGCCTATAGTGGATAACCAAATATATTCATATAATAACTAGACAGAAGCATTTTGAGAAACTTCTTTGTGATGTGTGAATTCATCTCACACTGATTTGAACCTTTCTTTTGATTGATCATCTTTGAAACACTCTTTTTGTAGAATCAGCAAGTGGATATTTGGAGCGCTTTGAGGCCTATGGTGGAAAAGGAAATATCTTCACATAAAAACCAGACAGAAGCATTCTGACAAACTTCTTTGTGATGTGTGCATTCATCTCACAGAATTGAACCTTACTTTTCATTGAGCAGTTTTGAAACACTCTTTCTGTAGAATCTGCTAGTAAGCAATTGGAGGACTTTGAGTCCTATTGAGGAAAAGGAAATGTCTTCATATAGAAACTAGAAAGAAGCCCGCTGAGAAACTTCTTTGTGATGTGCGCATTCATCTCACAGGGTTAAACCTTGCTTTTCATTGAGAAGCTTTGAAACACTCTTTTTGTAGAATCTACAAGTGGACATTTGGAGCACTATGAGGCCTATGGTGGAAAAGGAAATATCTTCACATAAAAACTAGACAGACTATTCTCACAAACTTCTTTGTGTTGTGTGCATTCATCTCACAGGGTTGAACCTTACTTTTCATTGAGAAGTTTTGAAACACTCTTTTTGTAGTATCTGCAAGTGGACATTTGGAGCGCTTTGAGGCCTATGGTGGAAAAGTAAATATCTTCAGGTAAAAAGTAGACAGATGCATTCTGAGAAACTACTTTGTGATGTGTGCATTCATCTCACAGAGTTGAACCTTTCTTTTGATTGAACAACTTTGAAACACTCTTTTTGTAGAATCTGCAAGTGGACATTTGGAGAGCTTTGAGGCCTATGGTGGAAAAGGAAAAATCTTCACATAAAAACTAGACAGAAGCATTCTGACAAACTTCTTTGTGATGTGTGCACTGATCTCACAGAGTTGAACCTTATTTTTCATTGAGCAGTTTTGAAATACTCTCTTTGTAGAATCTGCAAGTGGACATTTCGTGCGCTTTGAGGCCTATGGTGGAAAAGGAATTATCTTCACATAAAAACTAGACAGAAGCATTCTGACAACCTTCTTTGTGATATGTGCATTCATCTCACAGAGTTGAACCTTACTTTCGATTGAGCAGTTTTGAAACACTCTCTTTGTAGAATCTGCAAGTGGACATTTGCTGCACTTTGAGGCCTATGGTGGATAACAAAATATCTTCATATAATAACTAGATGGAAGCATTATGAAAAACTCCTTTATGATGTGTGCTTGCATCTTACAGAGTGGAACCTTTCTTTTGATTGAGCAATTTGGAAACCCTCTTTTTGTAGCATCTGCAATTGGACATTTGGAGTGCTTTGAGGCCTTTGGTGGAAAAGGAAATATCTGCACATAAAAACCAGAAAGAAGCTTTCTGACAAACTCCTTTGTGATGTGTGAATTCATCTCACAGAATTGAACCTTACTTTTGATTGAGCAGTTTTGAAACACCCGTTTTGTAGTATCTACAAGTGGACATTTGGAGTGCTTTGAGGCCTATGGTGGAAAAGGAAATATTTTCACATAAGAACTAGGCAGAAGGATTCTGAGAAATTCCTTTGTGATGTGTGCATTCATCTCACAGAGTTGAACCTTACTTTCGATTAAGCAGTTTTGAAACACTCTTTTTTGTAGAATCTGCAAGTGGACATTTGCTGCACTTTGAGGCCTATGGTGGTTAATGAAATATCTTCATATAATAACTAGACAGAAGCATTATGCCAAACTTCTTTATGATGTGTGCATTCGTCTCACAGAGTGGAACCTTTCTTTTGATTGAGAAGCTCAGACACACTCTTTTTGTAGCATCTGCAGTTGGACATTTGGAGCGCTTTGAGGCCTTTGGTGGAAAAAGGAAATATCTTCACATAAAAACCAGAAAGAAGCTTTCTGACAAACTTCTTTGTGATGTGTGCCTTCAGCTCACAGAGTTGAACCTTTCTTTTGATTGAGCAATTTGGAAACCCTCTTTTTGTAGAATCTGCAAGTGGACATTTGGAGTGCTTTAAGGCCTATGGTGGAAAAGGAAATATCTTCACATAAGAACTAGGCAGAAAGATTCTGAGAAATTCCTTTGTGATGTGTGCATTCATCTCACAGAGTTGAACCTTACTTTCGATTGAGCAGTTTTGAAACACTCTTTTTTGTAGAATCTGCAAGTGGACATTTGCTGCACTTTGAGGCCTATGGTGGTTAATGAAATATCTTCATATAACAACTAGACAGAAGCATTATGACAAACTTCTTTGTGATGTGTGCATTCGTCTCACAGAGTGGAAACTTTCTTTTGATTGAGCAGCTCTGAAACACTCTTTTTGTATAATCTGCAATTGGATATTTGGAGTGCTTTGAGGCCTTTGGTAGAAAAGGAAATATCATCACATAAAAACCAGACAGAAGCATTCTGACAAACTCCTTTGTGATGCGTGCATTCATCTCATGGAATTGAACCTTACTTTTCATTGAGCAGTTTTGAAGCACTCTTTTTGTAGAATCTACAAGTGGACATTTGGAGCACTTGAGAGCTATGGTTGAAAAGGAGATATCTTTACATAAAAACTAGACAGAAGCATTCTGACAAACTTCTTTGTAATGTGTGCATTCACATCACAGAGTTGAACCTTACCTTCAATTGAGCTGTTTCAAAACACTCTTTTTGTAGAATCTGCAAGTGGACATTTGAAGCACTTGAGGCCTATGTTGGAAAAGGAAATATCTCCACATAAAAATTAGACAAAAGCATTCTGACAAACTTCTTTGTGATGTGTACATTCATGTCACAGAGTTGAACCTTACTTTTGATTGAGCAGTTTTGAAGCACCCTTTTGGTAATATCCACAAGTGGACATTTGGAGTGCTTTGAGACCTTTGGTGGAAAAAGAAATATCTTCACATAAGAACTAAACAGAAGCATTCTGACAAATTTCTCTGCGATGGGTGCATTCATCTCACAGATTTGAACTTTATTTTGATTAAGCAGCTTTGAAACACTGTTTTTGTAAAATCTGCAAGTGGACATTAGGAGCGCTTTGAGGCCTATGTTGGATAACGAAATATCTTGATGTAAAAACTAGATAGACGCATTCTGACATACATCTTTGTGATGTGTGCATTAATCTCTCAGAGTTGAAACTTAATTTTCATTCAGAAGTTTTGAAATACTCTTTTTGTACTATCTGCAAGTGGACATTTGGAGCGCTTTGAGGCCTATGGTGGAAAAGTAAATATCTTCACATAAAAACTAGACAGAAGCATTCTGACAAACTTCTTTGTGATGTGTGCATTTATCTCACAGAGTTGAACCTTACCTTTCATTCAGCAGTTCTGAAACACTCTTTTTGTTGAATCTGCATTTGGACATTTGGAGAACTTTGAGGCCAATGGTGGAAAAGGAAATATCTTCACATAAAAACTAGACAGAAGCATTGTGACAACCTTCTTTGTGACATGCGCATTCATCTCACAGAGTTGAACCTTACTTTTGATTGAGCAGTTTTGAAACACCCTTTTTGTAACGTCTGCAACTGGACATTTGGAGTGCTTTGAGGCCTATGGTGGAAAAGGAAATATCTTCACATAAAAACCAGACAGAAGCATTCTCACAAACTTCTTTGTGATGTGTGCATTTATCTCGCAGAGCTGGACCTTTCTTTTGATTGAGCAGCTTTGAAACACTCTTTTTGTAGAATCTGCAATTGGACATTTGGATCACTTTGAAGCCTATGGTGGAAAAGGAAATATCTTCAGATAAAAACTAGACAGAAGCATTTTGAAAAACTTCTTTGTGACGTTTGCATTCATCTCACTGACTTGAACCTTTCTTTTGATTGAGCAGTTTTGAAAAAGTATTTTATAGAATCTGCATGTGGACATTTGGAGCGCTTTGAGGCCTATGGTAGAAAAGAAAATATCTTCACATGAAAACTACACAGAAGAATTCTGACAAACTTCTTTGTGATGTGTGCATTCATCTCACAGAGTTGAACCTTTCTTTTGATTGAGCAGCTTTGAAACACCCTATTTGTAAAATCTGCAAGTGAACATTTGGTGCGCTTTGAGGTCTCTGGTGGAAAAGAAAATATCTTCACATACAAACTAGACAGAAGCATTCTGACAAACTACTTTGTGATTTGTGCATTCATCTCACAGAGTTGAACCTTTCTTTTGATTCAGCGGGTTTGAAACACCCTTTTTGTAGAATCTGCAAGTGAACATTTGGAGCACTTTGAGGCTGATGGTGGAAAAGGAAATATCTTCACATAAAAACTAAACAGACGTATTCTGACAACCTTCTTTGTGATGTGTACATTCATCTCACAGAGTTGAAACTTACTTTTGATAGAGCAGTTTTGAAACATCCTTTTTGTGCTATCTGCAAGTGGACATTTGGAGTGCTTTGAGGCCTATGGTGGAAAAGGAAATATCTTCACATAAGAACTAGACAGAAGCATTCTGAGAAATTTCTTTGTGATGTGTGCAATCATCTCACACAGTTGAACCTTACTTTTGATTGTCCAGTTTTGAAAAACTCTTTTTGTAGAATCTGAAAGTGGACATTTGGAGCGCTTTGAGGCCTATGATGGATAACGAAATATCTTCATATAATAAATAGAGAGAAGCATTATGTTAAACTTTTTGTGATGTCTGCATACATCTCACAAAGAGTTGAAACTTTCTTTTGATTGAGCAGCTTTGCAACATTCTTTTTGTGGAATCTGCAAGTGGACATTTGGAGTGCTTTGAGACCTATGGTGGATAACGAAATATGTTCACATAAAAATTGGACAGAAGCATTCTGAGAAACTTCTTTGTGATGTGTGCATTCATCTCACAGAGTTGAACCTCCCTTTTGATTGAGCACTTTGGAAGCACTCTTTCTGTAAAATCTGCAAGTGGACAATTGGAGTGCTTTGAGGCCTATGGTGGAAAAGGAAATATCTTCACATAAGAACTAGACAGAAACATTCTGAGAAATTTCTTTGTGATGTGTGCAATCATCTCACAGAGTTGAACCTTACTTTTGATTGTCTAGTTTTGAAAAACTCTTTTTGTAGAATCTGAAAGTGGACATTTGGAGCGCTTTGAGTCCTATGATGGATAACGAAATATCTTCATATAATAAATAGAGAGAAGCATTATGATTAACTTTTTGTGATGTCTGCATACATCTCACAAGGAGTTGAAACTTTCTTTTGATTGAGAAGCTTTGCAACATTCTTTTTGTAGAATCTGCAAGTGGACATTTGGAGTGCTTTGAGGCCTATGGTGGATAATGAAATATGTTCACATAAAAATTGGACAGAAGCATTCTGAGAAACTTCTTTGTGATGTGTGCATTCATCTCACAGAGTTGAACCTCCCTTTTGATTGAGCACTTTGGAAGCACTCTTTCTGTAAAATCTGCAAGTGGACAATTGGAGTGCTTTGAGGTCTATGGTGGAAAACGAAATATCTTCACATAAAAATTGGACAGAAGCATTCTGAGAAACTTCTTTGTGACGTGTGCATTCATCTCACAGAGTTGAACCTCCCTTTTGATTGAGCACTTTGGAAGCACTCTTTCTGTAAAATCTGCAAGTGGACAATTGGAGTGCTTTGGGGTCTATGGTGGAAAACGAAATATCTTCACATAAAAATTGGACAGAAGCATTCTGAGAAACTTCTTTGTGACGTGTGCATTCATCTCACAGAGTTGAACCTCCCTTTTGATTGAGCACTTTCGAAGCACTCTTTCTGTAAAATCTGCAAGTGGACAATTGGAGTGCTTTGAGGCCTATGGTGGAAAAGGAAATATCTTCACTTAAAAACTAGACAGAAGCATTCTGACAAACTTCTTTGTGATGTGTGCATTCATCTCACAAAGAATTGAAACTTTCTTTGATTCAGGAGCTTTGAAACACTCTTTTTGTAGAATCTGCAAGTGTACATTTGGAGCGCTTTGAGGCCTGTGGTGGAAAAGGGAACATCTTCACATATAGAACAGACAGAAGCATTCTGACAAACTTCTTTTCGATGTGTGCGTTCAACTCACAGATTTGAACCTTACTTTTCATTGAGCAGATTTGAAACACTCTTTTTGTAGTATCTGCAAGTGGACAATTGGACCGCTTTGTGGCCTATGGTGGAAAAGGATATATCGTCACATAAAAACTAGACAGAAATCTTCTGAACAAACTTCTTTGTTATGTGTGCATTCATCTTTCAGAGTTGAACCTTTCTTTTGATTGAGCAACTTTGAAACACTGTTTTTGTAGAATCTGCAAGTAGTCATTTGGAGCGCTTTGGGGCCTATGGCAAAAAAGGAAATATCTTCACATAAAAACTAGACAGAAGCATTCTGACAAACTTCTTTGTGATGTGTGCATTCATCTCACAGAGTTGAAACTTACTTTTCATTGAGCAATTTTGAAACACTCTTTTTGGAGAATCTGTAAGTGGACATTTTGAGGGCTTTGACGCACATGGTGGAAAAGGAAATACCTTCACATAAAAACGAGACAGAAGCATTCTGACAAACTACTTTGTAATGTGTGCATTCATCTCTCAGAGCTGGACCTTTCTTTTGATTGAACAGCTTTGAAACACTCTTTTTGTAGAATCTGCAAGTGGACATTTGGAGCACTTTGAGGCCTATGGTGGAAAAGGAAATATCTTCACAGAAAAACTAGACAGAAGTATTTTGAAAAACTTCATTGTGACGTTTGCATTCATCTCACTGACGTGAACCTTTCTTTTGATTGAGCAGTTTTGAAAAACTCTTTTTGTAGGATCTGCATGTGGACATTTGGATCGCTTTGAGGCCTATGGAGGAAAAGAAAATATCTTCACCTAAAAACCATACAGAAGTATTCTGAGAAACTTCTTTGTGATGTGTGCATTCATCTCACAGAGTTGAACTTTACTTTTCATTGAGCAATTTTGAAACACTCTTTTTGGAGAATCTGCAAGTGGACATTTGGAGGGCTTTGACGCATGTGGTGGAAAAGGAAATATCTTCACATAAAAACTAGACAGAAGCATTCTGACAACCTTCATTGTGATATGTGCATTCATCTAAGAGAGTTGAACCTTACTTTTGATTCAGCAGTTTTGAAACTCTCTTTTTGTAGAATCTGCAAGTGGACATTCGGAGCACTTTTAGACCTATGGTGGAAAAGGAAATATCTTCACATAAAAACTAGACAGAACAATTCTGAGAAACTTCTTTGGGATGTGTGCATTCATCTCACAGAGTAAAACATTCTTTTGATCCAGCAGTTTTGTAAGTATCTTTTTGTAGAATCTGCAAGTGGACATTTTGAGCCCTTTCAGGCCTATGGTGGAAAAGGAAATATCTACAAATTGAAACTCGGCAGAAGAATTCTGAGAAACTCCTTTGTGATGCTTGCATTCATGTAACAGAGTTGAACCTTTCTTTATGATTGATCAGTTTGGAAACCCTCTTTTTTAGAATCTGCCAGCGGATATTTGGAGCGTTTTGCAGCCTATGGTGGAAAAGGAAATATCTTCACATGAAAACTAAATAGATGTATTCTGAGAAACTTCTATGTGATGTGTGCGTTCATCTCACAGAGTTGAACCTTTCTTTTGATTGAGCAGTTTGGAAACACTCTTTTTGTAGAATCTGCAAGTGGACGTATGGAATGCTTTGAAGCCTATGGTAGAACAGGAAATATCTTCACATAAAATCTGAACAGAGGAATTCTGAGAGACTCCTTTGTGATGTTTGTATTCATCTTACAGAATTAAACCTTCCTTTTGAATGAACAGATTTGAAACTGTCTTTTTGTAGAATCTGCAAGTGGACATTTTGAGCGCCTGGAGGTCTATGGTGGAAAAGAAAATGGCTTCACATGAAAACTAGACAGAAGAATTCTGAGAAACTTCTTTCTTATGTGTGCGTTAATCTCACACAGTTGAACCTTTCTTTTGATTGAGCAGTTTCAAACACTCTTTTTGTAGAATCTGCAAGTGGACTTTTGGAGCACTTTGTGGCCTACGGTAGAAAAGGAAATATTGTCACATAAAATCTAGACAGAAGCAATCTGAGACTTCTTTGTGATGTGTGCATTCACCACACATTGTTTAACCTTTCCCTTGATTGAGCAGTTTTGAAACTCTTTTTGTAGAATCTACAAGTCTACATTTGGAGTGCTTTGAGGCCTATGGTAGAAAAGGAAATATCTTCACATAAAAACTAGTCAAAAGAATTCTGAGAAACTTCTTGTTGATGTGTGTGTTCACCTCACAGAGTTGAACCGTTGTTTTGATTGAGCAGTTTGGAAACCCTCTTTTTGTAGAATCTGCATGTGGACATTTGGAGCGCTTTGAGGCCTATGGTGGAAAAGGAAGTATCTTCACATAAAAACTAGACAGAAGAATTCTGAGAAACTTCTTTGTGATGTCTGCATTTATCTCACAGACTTGAACCTTTCTTTTGATTGAGCAGTTTGGAAACACTCTTTTTGTAGAATCTGCAAGGGGACATTTGGAGCGGTTTACACCCTATGATAGAAAAGGAAATATCTTCACATAGAATATAGACAGAAGCAATCTGAGAAACTTATTTCTGATGTGTGAATTCATCTCACAGAGTTAAACATTTCTTTTGATTGAGCACTTTGGAAACAATCTTTTTGAAGAATCTGCAAGTGAACATTTGGAGAGCTTTGTGGCATATGATAGTAAAGGAAATATCTTCAAATAAAATTTAGAGGAAGAAATCTGAGAAATTGCTTTTGATGTGTGCATTCATGTCACAGAATTAAAGCTTTCTTTTGATTAAGCAGTTTTGAAACTCTCTTTTTGTAGAATCTGCAAGTGGACATTTCGAAAGCTTTGCGGCCTGTGTTAGAAAAAGGAAATATCATCACATAAAAACTAGATAGAAGCAATCTGAGAAACTTTGGTGTGACGTGTGAATTCATCTCCCAGAGTTGAAACATGCTTTTGATGGAACAGTGTTGATATACTCTTTTGGTAGAATCTGCAAGTGGACATTTCAAATTCATTGAGTCTTATGGTGGAAAAGGAAATATCTTTACATAAAAACTAGACAGAAAAAACCTGGGAAACTTCTTTGTGATGTGTGCATTCATCTCACAGAGTTGAACCTTTCTTTTGAATGAGCAGTTTGGAAACTCTCTTTTTGCAGAATCTTCAAGTGGACATTTGGAGCGCTTTGAAGCCTATGGTAGAAAAGGAAATATCTTCACATAAAATCTACACAGAAGCAATCTGAGAAACTTCTTTGTGATGTGTGCATTCATCACACCATGTTAAACCTTTCTCTTGACTGAGGAGTTTTGAAACTTACTTTTTGTAGTATCTGCAAGTGGTCATTTGGAGCGCTTTGAGGACTATGGTGGAAAAGGAAATATCTTCACATAAAAACCAGACAGAATAATTCTGAGAAACTTCTTTGTGATGAGTGAGTTCATCTCACAGAGTTGAACCTTTCTTTGATTGAGCAGGTTGGAAGCACTCTTTTTGTACAATCTGCAGGTGGATATTTGGAGCGCTATGCTGCCTATGGTAGAAAACGAAATATCTTCACATAAAATCAGGACAGAAGCAATCTGAGAAACTTCCGTTTAATGTGTGCGTTAATCTCACAGAGTTAAATCTTTCTTTTGATTGAGCAGTTTGAAACTCTCTTTTTGTAGAATCTGCAAGTGGACATTTGGAGTGCTTTTAGAACTATGGTGGAAAAGGAAATATCTTCACATAAAAACCAGACAGAAGACTTCTGAGAAACTTCTTTGTGATGTGTGTATTCATCTCACGGAGTTGAACCTTTCTTTTGATTGAGCAGTTTTGAAATGCTCTTTCTGTAGAATCTGAAAGTCAGCATTTGGAGCTCTTTGAGGACCATAGTGGAAAAGGAAATATCTTCACATAAAAACTAGACAGAAGAATTCTGACAGACATCTTTGTAATGTGCGTTAATCTCACAAGGTTGAGCCGTTCTTTTGATTGAACAATTTGGAAAATCTCTTTTTGTAGAATCTGCATGTGGACATTTGGAGCGCTTTGAGGCCTATGGTGGAAAAGGAAGTATCTTCACATAAAAACTAGACAGAAGAATTCTGAAAAACTTCTTTGTGATGTGTGCATTTATCTCACAGACTTGAACCTTTCTTTTGATTGAGCAGTTTGGAAACACTCTTTTTGTAGAATCTGCAAGTGCACATGTGGAGAGATTTGCAGCCAATGGTAGAAAAGCAAATATCTTCGCATAAATTGTAGACAGAAGCAGTCTGAGAAAATTCTTTGTGATGTGTGCATTCATCTCCCATAGTTGAAGTTTTCTTTTGAAGGGCCAGTTTTGAAATACGCTTTTTGTAGAACCTGCTAGTGGACATTTCGAAAGGCTTGAGGCCTATGGTGGAAAATAAAATATCTTCACATAAAAACTATACAGAAGAATTCTTAGAAACTTCTTTGTGATGTGTGCGTTCATCTCACAGAGTTGAACATTTCTTTTGATTGAGCAGTTTGGAAACACTCTTTTTGTAGAATATGCAAGTGGACATTTGGAACGCTTTGCAGCCCATGGCAGAAAGGGAAATATATTCACATAAAATCTAGACAGAAGCAATCTGAGAAACTTCTTTGTGATGTGTGCGTTCATCTCACAGAATTAAGCCTTTCTTTTGATTGAGCAGTTTTGAAATTCTTTTTGTAGAATCTACAAGTGAACATTTGGAGAGCTTTGCGGCTTGCGGTAGAAAAGGAAATATCTTCACATAAAATCTAGACAGAAGCACTCTGCAAACATCTTTCTGATGTGTGCATTCTTCTCACAGAATTAAACATTTCTTTTGAGTGAGCAGTTTGGAAACTCTCTTTTTGTAGTATCTGCAAGTGGACATTTGGTGCGCCTTGAGGCCTACAGTGGAAAAGAAAATATCTTCACATAAAATCTACACAGAAGAAATCTCAGAAACTTCTTTTGGTTGTGTGCATTCATCTCACCATGTTAAACCTTTCTCTTGATTGAGGAGTTTTGAAATTTTCTTTTTGTAGTATCTGCAAGTGGTCATTTGGAGCGCTTTGAGGACTATGGTGGAAAAGAAAATATCTTCACATAAAAACCAGACAGAATAATTCTGAGAAACTTCTTTGTGATGAGTGAGTTCATCTCACAGAGTTGAACCTTTCTTTGATTGAGCAGTTTGGAAGCACTCTTTTTGTACAATCTGCAGGTGGATATTTGGAGCGCTATGCTGCCTATGGTAGAAAACGAAATATCTTCACATAAAATCAGGACAGAAGCAATCTGAGAAACATCCGTTTGATGTGTGCGTTAATCTCACAGAGTTAAATCTTTCTTTTGATTGAGCAGTTTTGAAACTCTCTTTTTGTAGAATCTGCAAGTGGACATTTGGAGCGCTTTTAGAACTATGGTGGAAAAGGAAATATCTTCACAAAAATCTAGACAGAAGACTTCTGAGAAACTTCTTTGTGATGTGTGTATTCATCTCACGGAGTTGAACCTTTCTTTTGATTGAACAGTTTTGAAGTGCTCTTTTTGTAGAATCTTCAAGTCAGCATTTGGAGTGCTTTGAGGACCATAGTGGAAAAGGAACTATCTTCACATAGAAACTAGACAGAAGAATGCTGACAGACATCTTTTTGACGTTCGTTAATCTCACAAGGTTGAGCCTTTCTTTTGATTGAACAATTTGGAAAATCTCTTTTTGTTGAATCTGCATGTGGACATTTGGAGCGCTTTGAGGCCTATGGTGGAAAAGGAAGTATCTTCACATAAAACTAGACAGAAGAATTCTGAGAAACTTCTTTGTGATGTGTGCGTTTATCTCACAGACTTGAACCTTTCTTTTGATTGAGCAGTTTGGAAACACTCTTTTTGTAGAATCTGCAAGGGGACGTTTGGAGCGGTTTGCGCCCTATGATAGAAAAGGAAATATCCTCACATAAAATATAGACAGAAGCAATCTGAGAAACTTGTTTCTCATGTTTGCATTCATCCACAGAGTTAAACGTTTCTTTTGATAGAGTAGTTTTGAAACACTCTTTTTGTAGAATCTGCAAGTGGACATTTTTAATGCAGACATCACAAAGTAGTTTCTCAGATTGCTTCTGTCTAGATTGTATGTGAAGATATTTCTTTTTCTACCATATACTCCAAAGCGATCCAAATGTCCACTTGCAGATTCTACAAAAAGAGTGTTTCCAAACTGTGCAACCAAAAGAAAGTTCAACTCTGTGAGATGAATGCACGCATCACAAAAAAGTTTCTCAGAGTTCTTCTGTCTAGTTTTTATGTGAAGATAATTTATTTTCCAATATAGGCCTCAAGGCGCTCGAAATGTCCACTTGCAGGTTCTACAAAAGAATATTTCAAAACTGGTCCATCAAAAGAAAGGTTTAACTCTGTGAGATGAATGCAAACATCACAAAGAAGTTTCTCAGATTGCTTCAGTCTAGATGTCATGTGAAGATATTTCCTTTTCTACCATAGCCTGCAAAACGCTCCAAATGTCCACTTTCAGATTCTACAAAAAGAGAGTTTCAAAACTGCTCCATCAAAAGAAAGGTCCAACTCTGTCAGATGAATGCACACATCACAAAGAAGTTTCTCTTCTTGCTTCTGTCTAGATTGTATGTGAAGATATTTCTTTTTCCACCATACACCTCAAAGCACTCCAAATGTCCACTTGAAGATTCTATAAAAAGAGAGTTTCAAAGCTCTTCAATCAGAAGAAAGGTTCAACTCTGTGAGATGAATGCACACTTCACAAAGAAGTTTCTCAGATTTCTTCTGTATAGATTTTATGTTATGATATTTCTTTTTCTACCATAGGCCTCAAAGTGCTCCAAATGTCCACTTGCAGATTCTACAAAAAGAGAGTTTCAAAACTTCTGAATTAAAAGAAAGGTTTAACTCTGTGAGATGAATGAACACATCACTAGGAAGCTGCTCAGATTGCTTCTGTCTAGATATTATGTGAAGATATTTCCTTTTCTATCATAGGCCGCAAAGCGCTCCAAATGTCCACTTGCAGATTCTACAAAAAGAATGTTTCCAAGCTCCTCATTCAAAAGAAAGATTGAACTCTGTCAGATGAACGCACACATCACAAAGAAGTTTCTCAGAATTCTTTTGTCTAGTTTTTATGTGAAGATATTTCCTTTCCCACCATAGTCCTCAAAGTGCTCCAAATGTCCACTTGCAGATTCTACAGAGAGTTTCAAAACTCCTTCATCAAAAAAAAAATGTTAACCTCTTTCTGATGAATGCACACATCACAAAGAAGTTTCTCAAATTGCTTCTGTCTAGATTTTGTCTGAAGATATTTCCTTTTCTGCCACAGACTGCAAAGCACTCCAAATATCCATTTTCAGATTCTACAAAAAGACTCTTTCCAAACTCCTCAATCAAAAGAAAGGTTCAACTCTGTAAGATGAATGCAGACATCACAAAGATGTTTCCCAGAATTCTTCTGTCTAGTTTTTTATGTGAAGATATTTCATTTTCCACCAGAGGCCTCAAGGTGCTCAAATTGTCCACTTGCAGATTCTACAAAAAGAGAGTTTCAAAACTGCTCAATCAAAAGAAAGCTTTAACTCTGTGAGATGAATGCACACATCACAAAGAAGTTTCTCAGATTGCTTCTGTCTACAATTTATGTGAAGATATTTCCTTTTATGCTATAGGCCCCAAAGCGCTCCAAATGTCCACTTGCAGATTCTGCAAAAAGAGAGTTTCCAAACTGCTCAATCTAAAGGAAGGTTCAACTCTGTGAGAACAATGCACGCATCACAAAGAAGTTTCTCAGAATTCTTCTGTCTAGTTTCTATGTGAAGATATGTTATTTTCCACCATAGGCCACAAAGCACTCTACATATCCACTTGAAGATTCTACAAAAAGAGAGTTTCAAATCTGCTCCATCAAAGGAAAACTTCAACCCTCTGAGATGAATGCACCAATCACAAAGAAGTTTATCAGATTACTTCTGTCTATATTTTATATGAAGATATTTCCTTTTCCAATATAGGCCTCAAAGTGCTCCAAATATCCACTTGTAGGTTTTACAAAAAGAGAGTTTCAAAACTGTTAAATCAAAACAAAGCTTTAACTCTGTGAGATGAATGCACACATCACAAAGAAGTTTCTCAGATTGCTTCTGTCCAGATTTTATGTGAAGATATTTCCTTTTCTACCATAGGCCGCAAAGCGCTCTAAATGTCCACTTGCAGATTCTACAAAAAGAGTGTTTCCAAACTGCTCAATCAAAAGAAAGATTCAACTCTGTTAGATGAATGCACACATCGCCAAGTCGTTTCTCAGAATTCTGCCTAGTTTTCATTTGAAGATATTTGCTTTCCAACCATAGTCCTCAAAGCGCTCCAAATGTGCACTTGCAGATTCTACAAACAGAGAGTTTCAAAACTCGTGCATCAAAAAAAGTTTACCTCTTTCAGATGATCGCACACATCACAAATAAGTTTCTCAGATTGCTTTTGTCTAGATTTTGTCTGAAGATATTTCCTTTTCTGCCATAGGCCACAAAGCACTCCAAATATCCACTTGCAGATCCTACAAAAAGAGTGTTTCTGAACTCCTCAATCAAAAGAAAGTTTCAACTCTGTGAGATGAATGCACACATCACAAAGAAGTTTCTCAGAGTTCTTCTGATTTGTTTTTATATGAAGATATTTCCTTTTCTGTCATAGGCCTTTAAGCACTCCAAATATCCACTTGAAGATTCTACAGAAAGAGAGTTTACAAAGGGCTCAATCAAAAGAAAGTTTTAACTCTGTGAGATGAATGCACACATCACAAAGAAGTTAATCAGATTGCTTCTGTCTAGATTTTATGTGAGGATATTTCTTTTTCCAGCCTAGGCTGCACAGCACTCCAAATGTCCACCTGAAGATTCTACTACAAAGATTTTTCCAAACTGCTCAATAAAAAGAAAGGTTCAACTCTGTGAGATGAATGCACACATCACAAAGTAGTTTCTCAGAATGCTTCTGTCTAGTTTTTATGCGAAGATATTTCCTTTTCCACCGTAGGCCTCAAAACGCCCCAAATGTCCACGTGCAGGTTCTACAAAAAGAGAGCTTCAAAACTGCTCAATCAAAAGGAAGTTTTAACTCTGTGAGATGAATGCACACATCACAAAGAAGTTTCTCATATTGCTTCTGTCTACAATTTATGTGAAGATATTTCCTTTTATACCATAGGCCCCAAAGCGCTCCAAATGTCCACTTGCAGATTCTACAAAAGGAGTGTTTCCAAACTTCTCAATCAAAGGAAGGTTCAAATCTGTGAGAAGAACACAGGCATCATAAAGAAGTTTCTCAGAATTCTTCTGTCTAGTTTTTATGTGAAGATACATTATTTTCCACCATAGGCCACAAAGCACTCTAAATGTCCACTTGCAGATTCTACAAAAAGAGAGTTTCAAATCTGGTCCATCAAAAGAAAACTTCAACCCTGTGAGATGAACGCACATATCACAAAGAAGTTTATCAGGTTGCTTCTGTCTAGATTTTATGTGAAGATATTTCCTTTTATACCATAGATTGCAAAGCACTCCAAATGTCCACTTGAAGATTCTACAAAAAGAATGTTTCCAAACTGCTCAATCAAAAGAAATGTTCAGCTCTATGAGATGAACACAGACATCACAAAGAAGTTTCTCAGAATTCTTCTATCTAGTTTTTATGTGAAGATATTTCCTTTTCCCCCATAGGTCTAAAATCTCTCCAAATATCCACTTGCAGATTCTACAAAAAGAGAGTTTCAAAACTACTGAATCAAAAGAAAGGTTTAACTGTGTGGGATGAATGCACACATCACAAAGAACTTTCTCAGATTGCCTCTATCTAGATTTTAATGTGAATATCTTTCCTTTTCTACCATAGGCCTCAAAGCGCTCCAAAGGTCCACTTGCAGATTCTACAAAAAGAGTGTTTCCAAACAGCTCAATCAAAAGAAATTTTTGACTATGTGAGATGAACGCACTCATCCCAAAGATGTTTCTCAGAATTCTTCTGTCTAGTTTTTATATGAAGATACTTCCTTTTCCACGATGGGCCTCAATGTGATCCAAATATCCACTTGCAGATTCTACAAAAGGAGTGTTTCAAAACTCCTCAATCAAAAGAAAGATTTAACTCTGTGAGATGAATGCAACATCACAAAGAAGTTTCTCAGATTGCTTCTGTCTGGATTTTATGTGAAGATATTTCCTTTTCCACCATAGGCCTTTAAGAGCTCCAAATGTCCACTTCCAGATTCTATGAAAAGAGAGTCGCAAAATTGCTCAATCAAGAGAAAGTTTTAACTCTGTGAGATAAATGCACACATCATAAAAAAATTTCTCAGTTTGCTTCTGTCTATATTTTATGTGAGGGTATTCCATTTTCTACCATAGGCTGCAAAGCTCCCCAAATATCCACTTACAGATTCTACCAAAAGAGAGTTTCAAAACTACTCTATCAAAAGATAGGTTCAAATCCATGAGTTGAATGCACACATAACAAGGAAGTTTCCCAGAATGCTTCTGTGTAGTTTTTATCCGAAGATATTTCCTTTTCCAAAATAGACCACAAAGCCCTTCACATATTCACTTCCAGATTCTACAAAAAAAGTGTTTCAAAACTACTCAGTGAATAGAAAGGTTCAACTCTGTGTGGTGAATGCATTTTTCTCAAAGAAGTTTCCCAGAATGCTTCTGTGTAGTTTTTATTTGAAGATATTTCATTTTCCATCATAGGGCACAAAGTGCTCCAAGTATCCACTTGCAGATTCTACAGAAAGAGAGATTTAAAAATGCTGAATCAAAAGATAGGGTCAACACTGTGAGTTGAATGCACACATAACAAGAAGTTTCGCAGAATGCTTCTGTGCAGTATTTATGTGAAGATATTTCCTTTTTCAAAATAGGCCTCAAATCGCTCCAAATATCCACTTGCAGATTCTACAAAAAGTGTTTCCAAACAGCTCAATCAAAAGAACGGTTAAATTCTGTGAGACAAATGCACACATCACAAGGATGTTTCTCAGAATGCTTCTGTGTAGTTTCAGTTTGAAGATATTTCCTTTTCCATTATAGGCCTCAAAGGGCTCCAAATATCGACTGGCAGATTCTACAAAAGAGAGATTCAAATCTGCCCAGTCCAAAGATAGATTCAACTCTCTGAGTTGAATGCACATATCACAAAGAAGTTTCCCAGAATGCTTCTGTGTAGTTTTCATGTGAAGATATTTCGTTTTCCACAATGGGCCTCAAAGCTCTCCAAATATCAACTTGCAGATACTGCAAAAAGAGTGTTTCAAAACTGTTCAATCAAAGGAAGGTTTCAACTCTGTGTGATGAATGCACTCATCACAAAGAAGTTTCTCTGAATGCTTCTGTGTAGTATTTATTTGAAGATATATCCTTTTCCACCAAAGAGCACAAAGGGCTCCAAATATTCACTTGCAGATTCTACAAAAAGAGAGATTCAAAACGGCTCAATCAAAAGATAGGTTCAACTCTCTGAGTTGAATGCACACATCACAAAGAAGTTTCTCAGAATGCTTCTGTGTAGTTTTTATTTGAAGATATTTCCTTTTCCACAATAGGCCTGAAATCACTCCAAATATCCACTTGCAGATTCTACAAAAAGAGTGTTTCAAAACTACTCAATCAAAAGAAAGCTTCAACTCTGTGAGGTGAACGCACACATCACAAAGAAGTTTCTCAAAATGTTTTTGTGTAGTTTTTAGGTTAAGATATGTGCTTTTCCAAAGTAGGCCTCAAAGCGCTCATAATATCCACTTGCCGATTATACAGAAAGAGTGTTTCAAAACTGCTCTATCATAAGATAGGTTGAACCCTCTGAGATGAATGCACAGATCACAAAGACTTTTCTCAGAATTCTTCTGTGTAGTTTTTATTTGAAGATATTTCCCTTTCCACCATAGGACGCAAATGGTTCCAAATATCCACTTGCAGATTCTACAAAAAGAGAAATAGAAATCTGTTCAATTATAAGATAGGTTCAACCTTGTGAGATGAATGCACACATCACAAAGATGTTTCTCAGAATGCTTCTGTGTAATTTTTATGTGAAGATACTTCCTTTTCCACAATAGAGTGTTTCAAAACTTCCCAATCAAAAGAAAGGTTCAACCCTGCCAGATGAATGCACACATCACAATCAAGTTTCTCAGAATGCTTCTGTGTAGTTTTTATTTGAAGATATTTTCTTTTCCACCATAGGCCACAAAGGGCTCCAAATATCCACTTGCAGATTGTACAAAAAGAGAGATTCAAAACTGCCCAATCAAAAGATAGGTTCAACTCTGTTAGTTGAATGCACGCATCACAGAAAAGTTTCCCAAAATGCTTCTGTGAAATTTTTATGTGAAAATATTTCTTTTTCCACAATGGGCCTCAAAGCTCTCCAAATATCAACTTGCAGATACTGCAAAAAGTGTGTTTCAAAACTGCTCAATCAGAGGAGGATTTCAACTCTGTGTGATGAATGCACTCATCACAAAGAAGTTTCTCTGAATGCTTCTGTGTAATTTTTATTTGAAGATATTTCTTTTTCCACCATAGAGCGCAAAGGGCTCCAAATATCCACTTGCAGATTCTACAAAAAGATAGTTTAAAAACGGGTCAATCAAAAGATAGGTTCAACTCTGTGAGTTGAAGACACCCATCAAAAAGAAGTTTCTCAGAATGCTTCTGTGTAGGTTTTATGTGAAGATATCTCCTTTTCTACAGTAGGCCTCAAATCGATCCAAATATCCACTTGTAGATTCTACAAAAACAGTTTCAAAACTGCTCAATCAAAAGATAGGTTCAATTCTGTGAGCTGAATGCACTCACCACAGACATGTTTCTCAGAATGCTTCTGTGTAGTTTTTATGTGAAGATATTTCCTTTTCCACAATAGGCTTCAAAGCTCTCCAAATATCCACTTGCCGATTCTGCAAAAAGAGAGATTCAAAACTGCTCAATCAAGACATAGGTTCAACTCTGTGAGTTGAATGCACATCTCCAAAGAAGTTTCTCAGAATTCTTCTGTGTAGTTTTTATTTGAAGATATTTGCTTTTCCACAGTAGGCCTCAAAGCGCTACAAATATCCACTTGAAGTTTCTGCAAAAAGAGAGATTCAAAACTGCTCAATCAAAAGATAGATTCAACTCTGTGTGTTGAATTCACACATAACAAAGGAGTTTCTCAGAATGCTTCTGTGTAGTTTTTATGTTAAGATATACCCTTTTCCAAAATAGGCCTCAAAGCCTTCCAAATATCCACTTCCAGATTCTACAAAAAGAGTGTTTCAAATTTGCTCAATGAAAATAAACATTCAACACTGTGTGATGAATGCACTCCTCACAAAGAAGTTTCTCTGAATGCTTCTGTGTAGTTTTTATTTGAAGATATTTCTTTTTCAACTTTAGGGCACAAAGAGCTCCCAATATCCACTTGCAGATTCTACAAAAAGAGAGATTGGAAACTGCTCAATCAGAAGATACGTTCAACCCTGTGAGATGAATGCACACATCACAGAGAAGTTTCCCAGAATGCTTCTGTGTATGTAGTTTTTATTTGAAGATATTTCCTTTTCCACCATATGCTGCAAAGGGCTCTAAATATTCAATAACAAAGTCTACAAAAGAGAGATTCCAAACTGCTCAATCAAAAGATCTGTTCAACTCTTTAAGTTTAATGCATATATAACAAAGAAGTTTCTCAGAATGTTTCTGTTCAGTTTTTATGTGAAGATATTTCTTTTTCCACCATAGGCCTCAAAGCCCTCCAAATATCCAATTCCAGATTCTACAAAAAGAGTGTTGCAAAATTGATCAATCAAAGGAAGGGTTCAACTCTCTGAGATGAATGCACTCATCACAAAGAAGTTTCTCAGAATGCTACTGTGCTCTTTTTATTTAAAGATATTTCCTTTTCCACCATAGGGTGCAAAGGGCTCCAAATATCTACTTACGGATTCTACAAAAAGAGAGATTGAAAACTTCTCAATCAAAAAATACGTTCAAATCTGTGAGTTGAATGAACACATAACAAAGAAGTTTGTCGGAATGCTTCTGTGTAGTTTTTATGTGAAGATATTTCCTTTTCCAAAATAGGCCTCAAAGCTCTTGAAATATACACTTCCAGATTCCACAAAAAGAGTGTTTCAAAATTGCTCAATCAAAGGAAAGGTTCAACTCTGTGTGATGAATGCACTCATCACAAAGAAGTTTCTCTGAATACTTCTGTGTAGTTTTTATTTGAAGATATTTCATTTTCCACAATAGGGTGCAAAGGGCTCCAAATATGGACTTGAAGATTCTACAAAAAGAGAGATTCAAAGTTGCTCAATCAAAAGAAAGGTTCAACTCTGTGAGTTGAATGCACACATCACAAAGAAGTTTCTCAGAATGCTTCTGTGTAGTTTTTAAGTGAAGATACTTCCTTTTCCACAATAGGCCTCAAACCGCTCCAGGTATCCCTTTGCAGATACTACAAAAAGAGTGTTTCAAAACTGCTCAATCAAAAGAAAGTTTCAACTTTGTGAGATGAATGAACACATCACAAAGAGGTTTCTCAGCATGCTTCTGTGTAGTTTTTATGTGAACATATTTGCTTTTCCACAATAGGCCTCAAAGCTCTCCAAATATCCACTTGCAGATTCTGCAAAAAGAGAGATTCAAAAGTGCTCAATAAGGAGGTAGTTTCGACTCTGTGAGTTGAATGCACATCTCCAAAAAAGTTTCTCAGAATTCTTCTGTGTAGTTTTTATTTGAAGTATTTGCTTTTCCACCGTAGGCCCCAAATCGCTACAAATATCCACTTGAAGATTCTGCAAAAAGAGAGAATCAAAACTGCTCAATCAAAAGATAGGTTCAACTCTGGATGTTGAATGCACACATAACAAAGGAGTTTCTCAGAATGCTTCTGTGTAGTTTTTATGTTAAGATATACTCTTTTCCAAAATAGGCCTCATAGCCCTCCAAATATCCACTTCCAGATTCTACAAAGAGTGTTTCAAAACTGCTCAATGAAAAGTAACGTTCAACACTGTGTGATGAATGCACTCCTCTCAAAGAAGTTTCTCTGAATGCTTCTGTGTAGTTTTTACTTGAAGATATTTCCTTTTCAACAATAGGGCACAAAGGGCTGCAAATATCCACTTGCAGATTCTACAAAAAGAGAGATTGGAAACTGCTCAATCATAAGATGCGTTCAATTCTGTGAGATGAATGCACACATCCCAGAGAAGTTTCCCAGAATGCTTCTGTGTAGTTTTTAAGTGAAGATACTTCCTTTTCCACAATAGGCCTCAAATCGCTCCAAATATCCACTTGCAGATTCTACAAAAAGTGTGTTTCAAAACTCCTCAATCAAAAGAAAGTTTCAACTCTTTGAGATGAATGAACACATCACAAAGAAGTTTCTCAGAATGCTTCTGTTTTGTTCTTATTTGAAGATATTTCCTTTTCAGCAATAGGCCTCAAAACTCTCCACATATCCACTTGCAGATTCTGCAAAAAGGGAGATTCAGAGCTGCTCATTCAAAAGGTAGGTTCAACTCTGTGTTTTGAATACACACCTCACAACGAAGTTTCTCAGAATGCTTCTGTGTAGTTTCTATGTGAAGATATTTCCTTTTCTACAATAGGCCTCAAAGCTCTCCAAATAGCAACTTTCAGATTCTGCAAAAAGAGAGATTCAAAACTGCCCAATTAGCAGATAGGTTCAACTCTGTGAGTTGAATACACACATCACAAAGAAGTTTCTCAGAATGCTTCTGTGTAGTTTTTATTTGAAGTTATTTCCTTTTCCACCATAGGCCACAAAGGGATCAAAACATCCAAATGCAGATTCTAAAAAAAGGAGATTCAAAACTGCTCAATCAAAAGAAACGTTCAACTCTGTGACATGAATGTGCACACCACAAAAAAGTTTCTCAGAATGTTTCTGTGTAGTTTTTATGTGAAGATATTTGCTTTTCCACGGTAGGCCTCAAAGCGCTCCAAATATGTACTTGCAGATTCTATAAAAGGAGTGTTTCAAAACTGCTGAATAAAAAGAAAGGATCAACTCTGTGAAATGAATGGACACATCACAAAGAAGTTTCTCAGAATGCTTCTGTGTAGCTTTTATTTGAAGGTATTTCCTTTTCCACCATAGGCCGCAAAGGGATCGAAATATCCAATTGCAGATTCTAAAAAAAGGAGATTCAAAACTGCTCATTTCTGTGTAGTCTTTATGTGAAGATATTTGCTTTTCCATGTTAGGCCTCAAAGCGATCCAAATATCTACTTGCAGATCCTGTAAAGTGAGTGTTTCAAAACTGCTGAATAAAAAGAAAGGATCAACTCTGTGAAATGAATGGACACATCACAAAGAAGTTTCTCAGAATGCTTCTGTGTAGTTTTTATTTGAAGGTATTTCCTTTTCCACCATAGGCCACAAAGGGATTGAAATATCCAATTGCAGATTCTAAAAAAAGGAGATTCAAAACTGCTCAATCAAAATAAATGTTCAACTCTGTGACATGAATGTGCACACCACCAAAAAGTTTCTCAGAATGTTTCTGTGTAGTTTTTATGTGAAGATATTTGCTTTTCCACGGTAGGCCTCAAAGTGCTCCAATTATGTACTTGCAGATTCTATAAAAGGATTGTTTCAAAACTGATGAATAAAAAGAAAGGATCAATTCTGTGAAATGAATGGACACATCACAAAGAAGTTTCTCAGAATGCTTCTGTGTAGTTTTTATTTGAAGGTATTTCCTTTTCCACCATAGGCCGCAAAGGGCTCCAAATATCCAACTGCAGATTCCAAAAAAAAGGAGATTCAATACTGCTCAATCAAAAGAAAGGTTCAACTCTGTGAATTGAATGCACACATCACAAAGAAGTTTATCAGAATGCTTCTGTGTAGCTTTTATGTTAAGATATTTCCTTTTCCACAATAGGGCTGATATCGCTCCAAATATCCACTTGCAGACTCTACAAAAACAGTGTTTCATAACTGCTCCATCAAAATAAAGAATCAACTCTGTGAGGTGAATGCACACATCACAAAGAAGTTTCTCTGAATGCTTCTGTGTAGTGTTTATGTGAACATATTTGCTTTTCCACAATAGACCCCAAAGTGCTCCAAATATCCACATGCTGATTTCTACAAAAAGAGTGTTTCAAAACTGCTCAATCATAAGGTAGGTTCGTCCTGTGAGATGAATGCACACATCAAAACGAAGTTTCTCAGAATGCTTCTGTGTAGTTTTTATTTGAACATATTTCCTTTTCCACCATAGGCCACAAAGGGCTCCAAATATCCACTCACAGATTCTACAAAAAAAGAGATTCAAAACTGTTTAATCAAAAGCTAGGTTCAACTCTGTCAGTTGAATGCACACATCACAAAGAAGTTTCTCAGAATGCTTCTGTGTAGTTTTTACATGAAGATATTTCCTTTTCCCCAATAGGCCTCAAAGCTCTCCAAATATCCACTTGCAGATTCTGCAAAAAGAGATTCAAAACTTCTCCATCAAAAGAGAGGTTCGACTGTCAGTGGAATGCACACATCACAAAGTAGTTTCTCAGAACGCTTCTGTGTAGTTTGTATGTGAAGATATTTCCTTTTCAATCATAAAGCACAAAGGGCTCCAAATATCAAGTTGCAGATTGTACCAAAAGAGAGTTTAAAAATGGCTCAATCAAAACATAGGTTCAACTCTGTGAGTTGAATGCACACGTCACAAATAGTTTCTCAGAATGATTTTGTGTAGTTTTTAGGTGAAGATATTTGCGATTCCACAGTAGGCCTCAAAGCGTTCCAAATATCCATTTGCTCATTAAACAAAAAGAGTGTATCAAAACTGCTCAATCATAAGATAGGTTCAACCCTGTGAGATGAATGCACACATCACAAATAACTTTCTCAGAATGCTTCTGTGTAGTTTTTATGTGAAGATATTTCCTTTTCCACCGCAGGCCACAAAGGGCTCCAAATATCAACTTGAAGATTCTACAAAAAGAGAGATTCAAAACTGCTCCATCAAGAGATAAGTTCAACTCTGTGAGTTGAATGGACACATCGCAAAGAATTTTCTCATAATGCTTCTGTGTAGTTTTTATTTGAAGATACTTCCTTTTCCACAATAGGCCTCAAAGCTCTCCAACTATGCCCTTGCAGATTCTACAAAAAGAGAGATTCAAAACTGCTCAATCAATAGAGTGGTTTGACTCTGTGCGTTGAATGCACACCTCACAGAGAAGTTTCTCAGAATGCTTCTGTGTAGTTTGTATTTGAAGATATTTGCTTTTCCACAGTAGGCCTGAAAGCTCTCCAAATATCCACTTGCAGATTCTGCCAAAAGAGAGATTCAAAACTGCTCAATCCAAAGATAGGTTCAACTCTTTGAGTTGAATACACACATCACAAAGAAGTTTTTCAGAATGCTTCTGTGTAGTTATTATCTGAAGATATTTCCTTTTCCACAGAAGACCTCAGAGGTCTTTAATATCTACTTGCAGATTCTGCAAAAAGAGTGATTCAAAACAGCTCAATCAAAAGATATTTTCGACTCTGTGAGTTGAATGCACACCTAACAAAAAAGATTCTCACAATGCTTCTGTGTAATTTTTAGGCGTAGATGTTTGCTTTCCCTCATTAGGCCTCAAAAAGTTCCAAATATCCACTTGCAGATTCTGCAAAAAGAGAGATTCAAAACTGCTCATTCAAGAGATAGGTTCAAATCTGTGAGTTGACTGCACACCTCACAAAGAAGTTTCTCAGAATGCTTCTGGGTAGTGGAGTGGAGAAAAGTGGAGTGGATTGGAGTGGTAAGGATTGGAATGCAATGGAGTGGAGTGGAATGGAATGGAATGGAACAGAATGGAATGGAATGGAGTGGAACAGAGTGGAGTAGAGGGGAGTGGAATGGAGTTGAGTGGAGTGTATCAGAGTGCAGTGGAATGGAAAGGAATGGAATGGATTGGAATGGATTGGAGTGGAGTGGAGTGGAATGGAGTGAAATAGAGTGGAGTGGAATGAAGTGGAATGGAATGGAATGGAGTTGAATGTAACGGAATGGAGCAGAAAGGAATGGAACGGAACTTAAAGGAATCTAGTGGAGTGGAGTGGAGTGGAGTTGATCAGAGTGCAGTGGAATTGAATGGAATGGACTGGAATGGAATAGAGTGGAGTGGAGGGGAGTGGTAAGAAGTTGAATAGAGTGGAATGAAATAGAGTGGAGTGGAATGGTATGGAATGGAATGGAATGGAATGGAATGGAAAGGAATGGAAAGGAAGAGAATGGAATGGAATTGAAAGGAGCAGAGTGGAGTGGAATGGAGTTGATTGGAGGGGATCGGAGTGGAGGGGAATGGAATGGAATGGAATGAAATAGAATGGAATTTAGGGGAGTGGCGTGGGGTGGATTGAGTGGAGTTGAGTGCAGTAGTGTGGAATGGAGTGGAATGGAATGTAGTGGAGTGGAATGGAATGGAAAGGAACAGAAAGGAATGGAATGGAATGGAATGGAATGGAATGGAATGGAATGGAATGGAACAGAGTGGAGTCTAATGGAGTGAAATGGAGTGGAGTGGAGTGGAGCGGAATGAAATGGAGTGGAATGGAACAGAATGGAACTGACCAGAACGGAATGGAATCGAATGGAGTGGAGTGGAGTTGAGTGGAGTGGATCGGAGTGCAGTGGAATGAAATGGAATGGAATGGAATGGAATGTATTGGAGTGGATTCTAGTGGAGTGGAGTGTAGTTGAATGGAGTGGAATGAAATGCAGTGGAGTGGAATGGAATGGAATGGAGTGGAATGGAATAGAATAGAACGGAATGGAATGGAATGAAAAGGAATGGAGTGGAGTGGAGTTGACTGGAATGGATTGGATTGCCATGGAAAGGAAAGGAAAGGAATGGAATGGAATGGAATGGAATGGAAAGGAGTGTAGTGGAATGGAGTGGAGTGGAGTGCAGTGGATTGGAGTGGAATGGAGTGGAGTGGAGTGCAGTGGAGTGGAAAGGAGTGGAGTGGTGTGGAATGGAATGGAGTGGAATGGAACGGAACACAAACATGAACAGAGTGGAAAGGAATGGAACGGAGTGGAGTTGAGTGGAGTAGAGTTGAGTGGAATGGATGGGAATGCTTTGGAATGGAATGGAAAATAATTTAATGAAATTTAGTTGAGTGGAGTGGATTTTATTGGAGTGGAGTGGAATGGAATGGATTAGAGTTTAGAGCAGTGGCGTGGAGTGGAGTGGAATGGAGTGGAATGGAGTGGAATGAAATGGAGTGGAGTGGAGTTGAGTGGAGTGGATGGGATAGCAGTGGAATGGAATGGAATGAAATGCAAATTGAATGAAATGGAGTGGAATCATGCAATGAAATGTGAGCTAAGATTGTGCCACTGCACTCTAGTCTGGGAGACAGAGTGAGATATAGTCGAAGTAAAAGAATGGATTGAAATGCAGTAGAATATAATGGAATGGAGTGGAGTGGAATGGAATGAAGTGGAATAGAATGGAGTGGAGTGGAATGGAGGGGAGTGGATTGGAGTGGAGTGGAATGGAGTGGAATGGAATGAAATGGAGTGGAGTGGAGTGGAAGGAATAGAGTGGAATGAAGTGGAGTGGAATGAAGTGGAGGGGAGTGAGTGGAATGGGGTGCAGTGGAATGGAATGGAGTGGACTGGAGTGGAAGGGAGTGGAATGAATTGGAATGGAATGGATTGGAATGGAATGAATGGAGTGGAATGGAGTGGAGTGTATTGGAGTGGATTGTAGTGGAGGGAAGTGGAATGGAGTAGAATGGAGTGGAATGGAGTGGAGTGGAGTGGAGTGGAATGGAATGGAGTTTAATGGAATGGAAAGGAACGTACCAGAACAGAATGGAATGGAACGGAATAGAATGGAGTGGAATGGAGTGGAATTGTGTGGAGTGGATCGGAGTGCAGTGGAATGGAATGGAATGGAATGGAATGGAATGGAATGGAGTGGAGTGGGGTGGAGTGGATAGGAGTGGAATGGAATGGAGTGGTGTTGAGTAAACTGGAATAGAGTGGAATGGAATGGAGTGGATTGGAATGCAATGGAAAGGAACAGAATGGAATGAATGGAACAGAATGGTATAGAACGGACGGAAAGGAGTGGAGTGGAATGGAGTTGAGTGGAGTGGATCGGATTGCTGTGGAATGGAAAGGAATGGAATGGAATGGAATGGAAAGGAATGTAGTGGAATGGAGTGGAGTGGAGTGGAATGGAGAGGAGTGGAATGGAGTGGAGTGGAATGGAGTGGGGTGGAGTGGAGTGCAGTGGAGTGGAGTGCAGTGGAGTGGAATGTAGTGGTTTGGAGTGTAATGGAATGGAGTGGAATGCAACGTAACAGAGGAGAATGCAACAGAATGGAATGGAATGGAGTGGAGTGGAGTAGAGTTGAGTGGAGTGGATCGGACTGCAGTGTAATGGAGTGGAATGGAATTTAAAGTAATCGAGTGGACTGGAGTGGAGTGGAGTTTAGTGGAGTGCGGTAGAATAGTTGTCTATTAGGTCCGCTTGGTGCAGAGCTGAGTTCAATTGCTGGGTATCCTTGTTGACTTTCTGTCTTGTTGATCTGTCTAATGTTGACAGTGGGGTGTTAAAGTCTCCCATTATTAATGTGTGGGAGTCTAAGTCTCTTTGTAGGTCACTAAGCACTTGCTTTATGAATCTGGGTGCTCCTGTATTGAGTGCATATATATTTAGGATAGTTAGCTCTTCTTGTTGAATTGATCCCTTTGCCATTATGTAATGGCCTTCTTTGTCTCTTTTGATCTTTGGTGGTTTAAAGTCTGTTTTATCAGAGACTAGGATTGCAACCCCTGCCTTTTTTTGTTTTCCATTTGCTTGGTAGATCTTCCTCCATTCTTTTATTTTGAGCCTATGTGTGTCTCTGCACGTGAGATGGGTTTCCTGAATAGAGCACACTGATGGGTCTTGACTCTTTATCCAATTTGCCAGTCTGTGTCTTTTAATTGGAGCATTTAGTCCATTTACATTTAAAGTTAATATTGTTATGTGTGAATTTGATCCTGTCATGATGATGTTAGCTGGTGATTTTGCTCGTTAGTTGATGCAGTTTCTTCCTAGTCTCGATGGTCTTTACATTTTGGCATAATTTTGCAGCGGCTGGTGCCGGTTGTTCCTTTCGATGTTTAGTGCTTTCTTCAGGAGCTCTTTTCGGGCAGGCCTGCTGGTGACACAATCTCTCAACATTTGATTGTCTGTAAAGTATTTTATTTTTCCTTCACTTATGAAGCTTAGTTTGGCTGGGTATGAAATTCTGGGTTGAAAATTCTTGTCTTTAAGAATGTTGAATATTGGCCCCCACTCTCTTCTGGCTTGTAGGGTTTCTGCCGAGAGATCCACTGTTAGTCTGATGGCTTCTCTTTGAGGGTAACCCGACCTTTCTCTCTGGCTGCCCTTAACATTTTTTCCTTCATTTCAGCTTTGGTGAATCTGACAATGATGTGTCTTGGAGTTGCTCTTCTCGAGGAGTATCTTTGTGGCGTTCTCTGTATTTCCTGAATCTGAACGTTGGACTGCCTTGCTAGATTGGGGAAGTTCTCCTGGATAATATCCTGCAGAGTGTTTTCCAACTTGGTTCCATTCTCCCCATCACTTTCAGGTACACCAATCATACGTAGATTTGGTCTTTTCACATAGTCCCATATTTCTTGGAGGCTTTGCTCATTTCTTTTTATTCTTTTTTCTCTAAACTTCCCTTCTAACTTCATTTCATTCATTTCATCTTCCATCGCTGATACTCTTTCTTCCAGTTGATCGCATCGGCTCCTGAGGCTTCTGCATTCTTCACGTAGTTCTTGAGCCTTGGTTTTCAGCTCCATCAGCTCCTTTAAGCACTTCACTGTATTGGTTATTCTAGTTCTACATTTTTCTAAATTTTTTTCAAAGTTTTCAACTTGTTTGCCTTTGGTTTGAATGTCCTTCCGTAGCTCAGAATAATTTCATCATCTGAAGCCTTCTTCTCTCAGCTCATCAAAGTCATTCTCCATCCAGCTTTGTTCCGTTGCTGGTGAGGAACTGCGTTCCTTTGGAGGAGGAGAGGCACTCTGCTTTTTAGAGTTTCCAGTTTTTCTGCTCTGTTTTTTCCCCATCTTTGTGGTTTTATCTACTTTTGGTCCTTGATGACGGTGATGTACAGATGGGTTTTTGTTGTGGATGTCCTTTCTGTTTGTTAGTTTTCCTTCTAACAGACAGGACCCTCAGCTGCAGGTCTGTTCCAGTTTTGAACATTCTTTTTGTAGAATCTGCAAGTGGACATTTGGAGTGCATTGCAACCTATGGTAGCAAAGGAAATATCTTCACATAAAATCTAGAAAGAAGCAACCTGAGAAACTTCTTTGTGATGTGTGCATTCATGTCACAGAGTTAAACATTTCTTTTGATGGAGAAGTTTTGAAACTATCTTTTTGTAGATCTAGCAATTGGACATTTGGAGCACTTTGAGGCCTATGGTGGAAAAGGAAATACCTTCACATAAAAACTAGAGAGAAGAATTCTGAGAAACTTCTTTGTGATTCATACGTTCATCTCACAGATTTGAACCTTTCTTTTGATGGAGCAGTTTTGAAACTCTCTTTTTGTAGAATGTGCAAGTGGACGTTTGGAGCGCTTTGAAGCCTATGGTGTAAAAGGAAATATCTTCACATAAAAACCAGATAGAAGCTTTCTGAGAAACTTCTTTGTGATATGTGCATTCGTGTCCCTGACTTGAGCATTTCTTTTGAAGGACCAGTTTTCAAATACTGTTTTTGTAGAATCTGCAAGTGGACAATTCGAGTGTCTTGAGGCCTATGGTGGAAAAGAAAATATCTTCACATAAAAACTGGACAGAAGAATTCTGAGAAACCTCTTTGTGATGTGTACATTCGTATCTCAAAGTTTAATCTTTCTTCTGAAGGACCAGTTTTGAAATCCTCTTTTTGAAGAATCCGCTAGCAGACATATTGTACGCCTTGAGGCGTATGCTGGAAAAGGAAATATCTTCACATAAAATCTAGACAGAAGCAATCTGAGAAACTTCCTTGTAATGTGTTCATTTATCTCACAGAGTTAAACCTTTTTTTTGATTGAGCAGTCTTGAAACTCTCTTTTTGTAGAATCTGTAAGTGGACATTTTGTGTGTTTTGAAGCCTATGGTGGAAAAGGAAATATCTTCACATAAAAATCAGATAGAAACATTCTGAGAAACATCTTTGTGATGTGTACATTCATCTCACAGAGTTAAACCTGTCTTTTGATAGAGCAGTTTTGAAACTCTCTTTTGTGGAAACTGCAAGTGGACATTTCGAGCACCTTGAGTCCTATGGTGGAAAATGTAATATCTTCACACAAATATTAGATAGAATAATTCTGAGAAACTTCTTTGTGATGTGTGCATTCACCTCAAAGAGTTGAACCATTCTTTTGATTGAGGAGTTTGGAAACACTCTTTTTGTAGTATCTGCAGGTGGACATTTGGAAAGCTTTTTGGCCTATGATAGAGAAGGAAATATCTTCACATAAAATCTAGACAGAAGAAATCTGAGAAACTTCCTCGTGATGTGTGCATTCATCTCATAGAGTTAAAACTTTCTTTTGATTGAGAAGTTTTGAAACTCTCTTTTTTAAGTCTGCAAGTGGACATTTGGAGCAGTTTGAGGCCTGTGGTGGAAAAGGAAATATCTTCACATAAAAACTAAACAGAAGAATTCTGAGATAGTTTTTGTGATGTGTGTGTTCACCTCACAGAGTTGAACCATTCTTTTGAATGAGCAGTTTGGAAACACTCTTGTAGAATCTGCAAGTGGATATTTGGAGTGCTTTGCGGCCTATGGTAGAAAAGGAAATATCTTCACATAAAATCTAGACAGAAGAAATCTGAGAAACCTCTTCATGATGTGTGCATTCATACCCAGAGTTTAAGCTTTCTTTTGATGGGTCAGTTTTGGAATACTCTTTTTGTTGGATCTGCAAGTGGACATTTTGAACACCTTGAGGCCTATGGTGGAAAATGAAATATCTTCACGTAAAAACTAAACAGAAGAATTCTGAGAAACTTCTTTGTGATGCGTGCGTTCACCTCACAGAGTTGAACATTTCTTTTGATTGAGCAGTTTGGAAACACTCTTTTTGTAGAATCTGCAAGTGGACATTCAGAGGGCTTTGTGGCCTATGGTAGAAAAGGAAATATCTTCACATAAAATCTCGACAGAAGCAACCTGAGAAACTTATTTGTGATGTGTGCATTCATCACACAGAGTTAAAACCTTTTTTTAATTGAGCAGTTTTGAAACTCTCTTTTTGTAGAATCTGGACGTAGACAAGTGCAGCATTTTCAGGCCTATGGTGGAAAAGGAAATATCTTCACATAAAAACTAGACAGAAGAAATCTGAGAAACTTCCTTGTGATGTGTCTGTTCATCTCACAGAGTTGAAACTTTCTTTTCATTGAGCAGTTTGGAAACATGCTTTTTGTAGAATCTGCAAGTGGACATTCAGAGGGCTTTGTGGCCTATGGTAGAAAAGGAAATATCTTCACATAAAATCTAGACAGAAGCAATCTGAGAAAATTCTTTCTGATGTGTGCATTCATCTCACAGAGTTAAACCTTTCTTTTGATTGAGCAGTTTTGAAACTCTTTTTGTGGAATCTGCAAGTGGACATTTGGAGTGCTTTTCGGCCTATGATAAAAAAAGAAATATCTTCACATAAAATCTAGACAGAAGCCATCTGAGAAACTTCTTTGTGATGTCTGCATTCATCTCATAGAGTTAAAATTTTCTTTGAATGAGCACTTTCGAAACTCTCTTTTGTAGAATCTGCAAGTGGACATTTGGAGTGCTTTGAGACCTATGATAGGAAAGGATATATCTTCACATAAAATCTAGACAGAAGCAATTTGAGAAACTTCACCATGATGTATGTATTCAAGTCACAGAGTTAAACCTTTCTTTTTAATTGAGCAGTTTTTTTTTGTTTGTTTGTTTGTTTTTTTAGAATCTGTTAGTGGACGTTTAAGGCGCTTTGAGGCCTATGAAGGAAATGGAAATATCTTCACCTAAAAACTAAACAGATTTCTGAGAAACTTCTTTTTGATGTGTACGTTCATCTCACAGAGTTGAACCTTTCTTTTATTGAGCAGTTTGGAAACACTCTTTTCGCAGAATCTGCAAGAGTATATTTGGAGAGTTTTGAGGCCTATGGAGGAAAAGAAATATCTTCAGATAAAAACTAATTAGAACCATTCTGAGAAACTTCTTTGTGATGAGTGCATTCATGTCCCAGAGTTCAACATTTCTTTTGATGGGCCAGTATTGAAATAATCTTTTTGTGGAATCTGCAAGTGGACATTTGGAACGCCTTGAGGCCTATGGTGGAAAATGAAATATCTTCACATAATAACTAGACAGAATAATTCCAGGAAACTTCAATTGTGATGTGTACATTCATCTCACAGAGCTGAACCTTTCTTTTGATTGAGAAGTTTGGAAACACTCTTTTGGCGAATCTGCAAGTGGAAAATTTGTATGCTTTGCAGTCAATGGTAGAAAAAGAATAATCTTCAATTAAAATCTACACGGAAGCAATCTGAGAAACTTCTTTGTGATATGTGCATTCATCTCACAGAGTTAAACCTTTATTTTGACTGAGCAGTTTTGAACTCTCTTTTTATATAATCTGCAAGTGGACGTTTGAACAGATATGAGGCCTACGGTGGAAAAGGAAATATCTTCACATAAAAACTAGAAAGAAGAATTCTGAGAACCTTCTTTGTGATGCATGTGTTCATCTCACAGATTTGAACCTTTGTTTGGATTGAGTAGTTTGGAAACACTCTTTTTGTAAAATCTGCAAGTGGACATTTGGAGCACTTTGCGGCCTAAGGTAGAAAACAAATATCTTCACATAAAATTTAGACAGAAGCAATCTGAGAAACTTCTTTGTGATGAGTGCATTCATCTCACAGAGTTAAACCTTTCTTTGGATTGAGCAGTTTTGAAATTCTCTTTTTGTAGAATCTGCAATGAACATTTGGTGGGCTTTGAGGCCTTTGGTGGAAAAGAAAATATCTTTATATTAAATTTAGACAGAAGAATTCTGAGAAACTGTTTTGTGATGTGTGCTTTCATCTCACAGAGTTGAATCTTTCTTTTGATTGAGCAGTTTGGAAACAATCATTTGTAGGATCTGCAAATGGCCATTTGGAGTGCTTTGCGGCCTGTGGTAGAAAAGGAAATATCTTCACATAAAATCTAGAAGGAAGCAATCTGAGAAACTTCTTTCTGATGTGTGCATTCATGTCACAGAGTTAAAACTTTCTTTATATTGAGCAGTTTTGAACCTCTCTTTTTGTAGAATCTGCAAGTGGATGTTTAGAGCGATTTGATACCTATGGTGGAAAAGAAAATATCTTCACAAAAAAACTAGACAGAAGAAATCTGAAAAACTACTGGTGATGTTTGCGTTCATCTCACAGAGTTCAAAGTTTCTTTTGATGGAGCATTTTGGAAACACTCATTTTCTAGAATCTTCAGGTGGACATTAGGAGGGCTTTGAGGCCTATGGTGAAAAAGGAAATATCTTCACATGAAAACTAGAGAGAAGAATTCTGTGAAAGTTCTTTTGTTGTGGGCTTTCATCTCACCCAGATGAACCTTCTTTTGATTGAGCAGTTTGGAGACTCTCCTTCTTTAGAATCTGTAAGTGGATATTTGGAGACCTTTGTGGCCTATGGCAGAAAAGGAAGTATCTTCATATAAATCTCTGCCGCAGCAACCTGAGAAACTTCTTTGTGATGTGTGCATTCCTCTGACAGAGTTGAACCTTTCTTTTGATTGAGCAGTTTTGCAACTCTCTTTTTGTAGAATCTGCAAGTGGACATTTTGAGGGCTTTGAGGACTAAGGTGGAAAAGGAAATATCTTCACATAAAAACTAGACAGAAGAACTCTGAAAAACTTCTTTGTGATATGTGCGTTCATCTCACAGAGTTGAAACTTTCTTTTGATTCAGCAGTTTGGAAACACTCTTTTCGTAGAATCTGCCAGTGGACATTTGGAGTGCTTGGCGGCCTATAGTAGAAAGGGAAATATCTTCATCTTAAGTCTAGACAGAAGCAATCTGAGAAACTTCTTTGTGAAGTGTGCATTCATCTCCAAGAGCTGAACCTTCCTTTTGATGTATCAGTTTTGAAATACTCTTTTTGTAGAATCTGCAAGTGGACATTTGGAACGCCTTGGGGCCAATGGTAGAAAAGGGTATATCTTCATTTAAAATCTAGACAGAAGCAATATGAGAAACTTCTTTGTGATGTAGGCATTCATCTGACAGAGTTAAACCTTTCTTTTGATTGAGCAGTTTGGAAACTCTCTTTTTGTAGAACCTGCAAGTGGACATTTGGAGCACTTTGAGTCCTATGATGGAAAAAGAAATATTCTCACATAAAAACTAGACAGAATAATTCTGAGAAACTTCTTTTTGATGCGTGTGTTCATCTCAAAGAGTTGAGCCTTTCTTTTGATTGAGGAGTTTGGAAACACTTTATCTTGTAGAATCTGCAAGTGGACATTTGGAGCGTTTTGCAGCCTATGGTAGAAAAGGAAATATCTACACATAAAATCTAGACAGAAGCTATCTGAAAATCTTCTTTGTGATGCGTGCATTCATATTCCAGAGTAAAGCCTTTCTTTTGATTCAGCAGTTTTGAAACTCTCTTTTTGTGTAATCTGGAAGTGGACATTTGGAGGGCTTTGAGGCCGATGGTGGAAAAGGAAATATCTTCAAAAATAAACTAGACATAAGCATTCTGAATAACTTCTTCATGATGTGTGCATTCATCTCCCAGAGTTGAAGCTTTCTTTTAATGGACCAGTTTTGAAATACTCTTTTTGTAGAATCTGCAAGTGGACATTTCGAGCACCCTGAGGCCTATAGAGGGAAAAGAAATACTTTCAGATAAAAATGAGACAGAAGAATTCTGAGAAACTTCTTTGTGATTTGTGCGTTCATATCACACAGGTGAAACTTTCTTTTGATTGAGCAGTTTGGAAACACTCTTTTTGTAGAATCTGCCAATGGACATTTGGTGTGCTTTGAGGCTTATGGTAGAAAAGGAAATCTCTTCACAGAAAATCCAGACAGAAGCAATCTGAGAAACTTCTTTGTGATGTGTGCATTCATCTCACAGAGTGAAACCTTACTTTTGATGGAGTAGTTTTGAAATTCTCTTTTTGTAGAATCTGCAAATTGACATTGGGAGTGCTTTGAGGCCTACAGTGGAAAAGGAAATATGTTCACATAAAAACTAGACAGAAGCATTCTGAGAAACTTCTTTGTGATGTGTGCATTCATCTCAAAGAGTTGAAACTTTCTTTTGATGGACCAGGTTTGAAATACTCCTTTTGTAGAATCTGCCAGGGGGCATTTCGAGCACCTTGAGGCCTAAGGTGAAAGTGAAATATCTTCATATAAAATCTTGACTGAAGCAATCTTAGAAACTTCTCTGTGATGTGTGCATTCATCTCACTAAGTGAAACCTTTCTTTTGATTGAGCAGTTTTGAAACTCTCTTTTTGTTGAATCTGCAGTTGGACACTTGGAGCGCTTTGAGGCCTAAGATGGAAAAGGAAATATCTTCACATAAAAACTAGACAGAAGAATTCTGAGAAACTTCTTTGTAATGTGTGCGTTCATTTCACAGAGTTGAACCTTTCTTTTGATTGAGCAGTTTTGAAACACTCTTATTGTAGAATCTGCATGTGGACATTTGGAGCACTTTGTGGCCTATGGTAGAAAAGGAAATATCTTCACATAAAATCTAGACAGAAGCAATCTGAGAAAATTCTTTGTGATGTGTGCATTCACCTTACAGAGTAAAACCTTTCTTTTGATTGAGCACTTTTAAAACTCTCTTTTTGTAGGATCTGCAAGTGGACATTTGTAGCACCTTGAGGCCTATGATGGAAAAGGAAATATCTTCACTTAAAAAATAAACAGAAGAATTCTGAGAAACTTCTTTTTTATATGTGTGTTCATCTCACAGAGTTGAACCTTTGATTGAGCAGTTTGGAAACTCTCTTTTTGTAGAATCTGCAAGTGGACATTTGGAGTGTTTTGTAGCCTATGGTAGAAAGGGAAATATCTTTACATACAATCTAGACAGAAGTAATCTGAGAATCTTCTCTGTGATGTGTGCATTCATCTCACAGAGTTAAGCCTTATTATGATTGAGCACTTTTGAAACTCTCTTTTTGTAGAATCTGCAATTGGACATTTGGAAGGCTTTGGGGCCTATGGTGGAAAAGGAAATATCTTCACATAAAAACAAGATAGAAGCGTTCTGAGAAACTTCTTTGTGATGTGTGCATCCATCTCCCAGAGTTGAACCTTTCTTTGGATGGACCAGTTTTGAAATACTGTTTTTGTAGGATCTGCAAGTGGACATTTTGAGCGCCTTGAGGCCTACGGTGGAAAAGGAAATATCTTCACATAGAAACTAGACAGAAGCATTCTGAGAAACCTCTTTGTGATGTGTGCATTCATCTCAAGGAGGTGAAACTTTCTTTTGATGGACCAGGTTCGAAATTCTCCTTTTGTAGAATCTGCCAGGGGGCATTTTGAGTGCCTTGAGGCCTATGGTGGAAAATGAAATATCTTCATATAAAAACTAGACAGAAGCATTCTGAGAAAGTTCTTTGTGATGTGTGCATTCATCTCACAGAGTTGAATCTTTCTTTTGATTGAGAAGTTTGGAAACACTGTTTTTGTAGAATCTGCAAGGGGCAGTTGGAACGCTTATTGTTCTATGGTGGAAAAGGAAATAACTTCATATAAAATCTAGACAGAAGCAATCTGAGAAACTTTTTGTGATGTGTGCTTTCATCTCACAGACTTAAACCTTCCTTTTGATTGAGCAGCTTTAGAAATCTCTTTTTGCAGAATCTGCAAGTGGACATTTGGAATGCTTTTAGGCCTATGGAAGAAAAGGAATTATCTTCACATAAAAACTAGCCAGAAGAATTCTGAGAGAATTCTTTGTGATGTGTGCATTCATCTGGCAGAGTTGAACCTTTCTTTTGATTGAGCAGTTTGGAAACACTCTTTTTGTAGAACCTGCAAGTGGACATTTGGAGCACTTTGCGGCCTATGGTAGAAAAGGAAATATCTTCACAAAAAATCTAGACAGAACCATTCTGAGAAACGACTTTTTCTTGTGTGCATTCATCTCACAGAGTTAACCATTTCTTTTGATTGAGCATTTTTGAAACTCTATTTTTGTAGAATCTGCAAGTGGACATTTGGAGCACTTTGAGGCCTATGGTGTAAAAGGAAATACCTTCACATAAAAACTAGATAGAAGCATTCAGAGAAACTTCTTTGTGATGTGTGCAATCATTTCCCAGAGTTAAACCTTTTTTTCTGATGGACCAATTATGAAATAGTCTTTTTGTAGAATTTGCAGTTGGACATTTCGAGCACCTTGAGGACTATGGTGGAAAATGAAATATCTTCACATAAAAACTAGACACAAGTATTCTGAGCAACTTCTATGTGATGTGTGCATTCATCTCACAGAGTTGGACCTTTCTTTTGATTGAGAAGTTTGTAAACCCTCTATTTGGAGAATCTGCAAGTGTACATTTGGAGTGCTTTGCCACCTATTGTAGAAAAGGAACTATCTTCACATAAAATCTAGACATAAGCAATCAGAGAAACTACTTTGTGTTTTGTGCATGCCCCTGAGAGAGTTAAACCTTTCTTTTGATTGAGGAGTTTTGAAACTCTCTTTTTGTAGAATCCGCAAGTCGATATTTGGAGGGCATTAAGGCCTCTGGTGGAAAAGGAAATATCTTCACATAAAAACTAAACAGAAGAATTCTGAGAAACTTCTTTGTGATGCGTGCATTCATCTTACAGAGGTGAACCTCTTTTTTGATTGAGCTGTTTGGAAACATTCTTTTTGTGGAATCTACAAGTGGATATTTGGAACGCTTTGGGGCCTGTGGTAGAAAAGGAAATATCTTCACATAAAATCTAGACAGAATCAACCTGACAAACTTCCTTGTGACGTGTGCTTTTGTCTAAGAGAGTTAAACCTTTCTTTTGATGGAGGAGTTTTGAAACTCTCCTTTTGTAAAATCTGCAAGTGGATATTTGGAGTGCTTTGAGGCCTATGGTGGAAAAGGAAATATCTTCACATAAAAACTAGACAGAAGAGTTCTGAGAAACTTCTTTGTGATGTGTGCGTTCATCTCACAGTGTTCAAAGTTTCTTTTCATGGAGCAATTTGGAAACACTCTTTTTGTAGAATCTTCAAGTGGACATTTGGAGGGCTTTGAGGCCTCTGGTGGAAAAGCAAATATCTTCACATGAAAACTGGAGAGAAGAATTCTGTGAAACTTTTTTCTGATACATGCGTCCATCTCACACAGATGAACCTTCCTTTTGATTGGGCAGTTTGGAGACACTCTTTCTGTAGAATCTGCAAGTGGACGTTTGGAGCCCTTTGTGATCAATGGTAGAAAAGGAAGTATCTTCATATAAATCTCTGCCAAAACAACCAGATAAACTTCTTTGTGATGTGTACATTCATCTCACAGAGTTGAACCTTTCTTTTGATTGAGCAGTTTTGAAACACTCTTTTTGTAGAATGTGCAAGTGGATATTTGGAGCTCTTTGTGGCCTATGGTAGAAAAGGAAATATCTTCACATAAAAATTACAAAGAAGCATTCTGATAGACATGTTTGTGTTGAGTGCATTCAGCTCACAGAATTGAACCTATGTTTTGATTGAGTGCGTTTGAAACACTCTTTGTAGAATCTGCAAGTGGATATTTGGATCGATTTGACGCCTATTGTGGAAAAGGAAATATCTTCACATAAAACCTACACAGCAGCATTCTGAGAAACTTCTTTGTTTTGTGTGCATTCAACTCATGGAGTCAAACCTATCTTTTGATTGAGCAGTTTTGAATCTCTCTTTTTGCATAATCTGTGAGTGGATATTTGGAGAGATTTGAGGCCTATTGTGGAAAAGGAAATATCTTCACAGCGAAACTACACAGAAGCATTCTGAGAAACTTCATGGTGATGTGTGCGTTCATCTCACAGAGATGAATCTTTCTTTTCATTTAGCAGTTTTGAAACACTCTGTATAATCTACAAGCGGATAGTTGGAGTGCTTTGAGGCCTATTGTTGAAAAGAAAATATCTTGAAATGAAATCTACACAGAAGCATTCCGAGAAACCTCTTTGTGATGTGTGCATTCATCTCACAGAGTTGAACCTTTCTTTTGATTGAGCAGTTTTGAAAAACTCTTTATGTGGAATCTGCAAGTTGATATTTGGAGCGCTTAGATTCCTATTGTGGAAAAGGAAATATCTTTACATAAAAACTGCATAGAATCATTCTGAGAAACTTCTGTGTGATGTGTGCATTCATCTCACAATGTTGAACCTTTCTTTTCATTCAGCAGTTTTGAATCTTTCTGTTTGTAGAATCTGCAAGTGGATATATGGAGAGCTTTGAGGCCTATGGTGGAAATGGAAATATCTTCACATAAAAACTACACAGAAGTATTCTGAGAAACACCTTTGTTAAGTGTGCATTAAACTCACAGAGTTGAAACTTTCTTTTGATTGAGCAGTTTTGAATCTCTCTTTTGGTAGAATCTACAAGAGGATATTTGGAGCCATTTTCAGCCTATGGTGGAAAAGGAAATACCTTCACATAAAAACTACAAAAAAGATTTCTGAGGAACTTCTATGTCATGTGTGCCTTCATCTCACAGAGTTGAACCTTTCTTTTGATTTAGCAGTTTGGAAACACTCTTTTTGTTGTATCTACAAGTGACTGTTTGGACCACTTTGAAGCCTATGGTGGAAAAGGAAATATCTTTAAATAAAAACTACACAGAAGCATTCTGAGAAACTTCTTTGTGATGTGTGCTTTCATCTCACATTATTGAACCTATCTTATGATTGGGCAGTTTTGAAACACTCTTTTTATAGAATCTGCAAGTGTATATTTGGAGCCGATGTGGCCTATGGTGAAAAGGGAAATATCTTCACATAAAAACTACACAGAAGCATTCTGAGAAACCACTTTGTGATATGTGCATTAAACTCACAGAGTTGAATCTATCTTTTCATTGAGCAGTTTTGATTCCCTCTTTTTGTAGGATTTGCAAGTGGTCATATGGAGCCCTTTGCGGCCTATGGAGGAAAAGGAAATATCTTCAAATAAAAACTACCCAGAAGCATTCTGAGGAACTTCTTTGCTATGTGTGCATTCAACTCACAGAGTTGAAACTATCTTATGATTCAGCAGTTTTGAAGCACTGTTTTTGTAGAGTCTTCAAGTGGATATTTGGAGCACTTTGAGGCCTACTGTGGAAAAGCAAATATCTTCACATAAAAACTGCACAGAAGCATTCTGAGAAACTTCTTTGTGATGTGTGCATTCAACTCACAGAATCGAACCTATATTTTGATGGAGCAGTTTTTAATCTCTCTTTTTGCAGAATCTGCAAGTGGATATTTGGAGGCCTTTGAAGCGTAGTGTGGAAAAGGAAATATCTTCACATAACAACTACACAGAAGCATTCTGAGAAACTTTTTGTGATGTGTGCATTCAACTCACAGAGTTGAACCTATGTTTTGATTGAACAGTTTTGAATCACTCTTTTTGTAGAATCTGAGAGTGAATATTTGCAGTGCTTTTAGGTCTATTGTGGAAAAGGAAATATTTTCACATAAAAACTACACAGAAGCTTTCTGAGAAATTTCTTTGTTATGAGTGCATTCATCACACATAGTTGAACCTTTCTTTTTGATTGAACAGTTTTGTAACACTCTTTATGTAGAAACTGCAAGTGGATATTTGGAGGGCTTTGAGGCCTATTTTGGAAAAGGAAATATCTTCATATCAAAACTACACAGAAGCATTCTGAGAAACTTCTTTGTGATGTGTACATTCAACTCACAGTGTTGAAACTATCTTTTGATAGAGCAGTTTTGAAACACTCTTTTTGTAGAATCTGCAAGTGTATATTTGGAAAGCTTTGAGGCCTTCTGTGGAAAAGGAAATATCTTCATGTAAAAACTACACTTAGGCAGTCTGAGAAACTTCTTTATGATGTGTGCATTCATCATACAGATTTTAACTTCTTTTGATTGAGCAGATTTGAAACACTCTTTTTGTAGAATCAGCAGGTAGATATTTGGAGGGTTTTGAGGCCTATTTTGGAAAAGGAAATATCTTCACATAAAAACTACACAGAAGCATTCTGAGAAACATCTTTGTGATGTGTGCATTCAACTCACAGAGTTGAACCAATGTCTTAGTGGAGCAGTTTTGAATCTTTTTGTGGAATCTTCAACCGGATATTTGGAGCCCTTATCAGCCTATGGTGGAAAAGGAAATATCTTTAAATAAACTGTACACGGAGGAATTGTGAGAAATTTCTTTGTGATGTGTGAACTCATCTCACAGAGTTGAAATTTCCTTTTGATTGAGCAGTTTTGAAATGCTGTTTTCATAGAATCTGCAAGTGGATATTTGGAGCGCTTTGAGGCCTATTGTGGAAAAGGAAATATCTTCACATAAAAACTACACAGAAGCATTCTGAAAAACTACTTTGTGATGTGTGCATTCATCTCACAGTGTTGAAATTTTCTTTTGATTGAGCAATTCTGAAATGCTGTTTTCATAGAATCTGCAAGTGGATATTCAGAGCGCTTTGAAGCCTACTGTGGAAGAACAAATATCTTCACATAAGAACTGCACTGAGGCATTCTGAGAAACTTCTTCATGATGTGTGCATTCAACTCACATAGTTGAACCTATCTTTTGATTGGGCAGTATTGGATCTCTCTTCGTAGAATCTGCAATTGGATATTTGGTGCCCTTTGTGGCCTATGAATGAAAAGGAAATATCTTAAAAGAAAAGGTACACAGAAGCATTCAGAGAAACTTCTTCATGATGTGTGCATTCATCTCACAGAGGTGAACCTTTCATTTGATTGAGCAGTTTTGAAACACTCTCTTTGTAGAATCTGTAAGTGGATACTTGGAGCCTTTTGAGGCCTACTGTGGAAAAGGAAATATCTTCACATAAAAACTACACAGAAGATTTCTGGGAAGCTTCCCTGGGATATGTGCATTCCTCTCACAGAGTTGAACATTTCTTTTGATTGAGCAGTTTGGAAACACTCTTTTTGAACCGTCTGCAAGTGGATATTTGGAGTAATTGAGGCCTACTCTGAAGAAGAAAATATCTTCACATAAAATCAACACAGAGGCATTCTGAGAAACTTCTTTGAGATGTGTGCCTTCATCTCACAGAGTTGAACATTTCTTTTGATTGAGCAGTTTTGAAACAATCTTTTTGTAGGATCTGCAAGCAGATATTTGGAGCCCTTTGTGGCCTAAAGTGGAAAAGGAAATATCTTCAAATAAAAACTACACAGAAGCATTCTGAGGAACTTCTTTGTTATGTGTGCATTCAACTCACAGAGTTGAACTTATCTTATGATTCAGCAGTTTTGAAACACTGTTTTTGTAGAATCTTCAAATGGATATTTGGAGCGTTTTGAGGCCTACTGTGGAAAAGCAAATATCTTCACATAAAAACTTCACAGAAGAATTCTGGGAAACTTCTTTGTGATGTCTGCATTCATCTCACACAGCTGAACCTGTCTTATGATAGAGCAGTATTGAAACAATCTTTTTGTAGAATCCACAAGTGGATATTTGGAGTGTTTTGAGACCTATTTTGGAAAACAAAATATCTTAACATAAAAACTACACAAAAGTACCCTGATAAACTTATTTGTGATGTGTGCATTTATCTCAGAGATTTGAAACTATCTTATGATTTAGCAGTTATGAAACACTCTATTTGTAGAATCTGCAAGTGGATATTTGGGGCCTTTTGAGGACTATTGTGGAAAAGGAAATATCTTCACATAAAAACAACACAGAAGCATTCTGAGAAACTTCTTTGTGATGGGTGCATTCATCTCACAGGGTTGAACCTATTTTATAATTCAGCAGTTTTGAAATACTCTATTTGTAGAATATGCAAGTGGATATTTGGAGCGCTTTGAGGCCAACAGTTGAACAGCAAATATATTTACATAAAAACTACACAGAAGCATTCTGAGAAACTTCTTTGTGATGTGTTCATTCATCTTACAGAGTTGAACCTTTCTTTTGATTGAGCAGTTTTGAAACACTCTTTGTGTAGAATCTGCATTTGGATATTTGGAGAACTTTGATGCATATTGTGGAAAAGGAAATATCTTCAAATAAAAACTACACAGTAGCATTCTGATAAACTTCTTTGTGAATTGTGAATTCCTCTCACAGAGTTTAACCTATGTTTTGTTTGAGCAGTTTTTAATCTCTTTTTGTAGAATCTGAAAGTGGATATACAGAGTGCTTTGAGGCCTATTGTGGAAAAGGAAATATCTTCACATAAAAATTTCACAGAAGCATTCTGAGAAACTACTGTGTGATGAGTGTATTCATCACACAGGATGAACGTGTCTTTTGATTGAGCAGTTTTGAAACACACTTTTTGTAGAATCTGCAAGTGGATATTTGGAGGGCTTTGAGGCCTGTTTTGAAAAAGGAAATATCTTCACATAAAAACTGCACAGAAGCATTCTGAGAAAATTCTTTGTGATGTGTGCTTTCATCCCACAGAGTTGAATCTTTTTTTGATTGAGCAGTATTGAAACACTGTTTTTGTGTATTCTGCAAGTGGATATTTGGAACGCTTTGAGGCCTATTGTGGAAAAGAAAATATCTTCACTTCAAGACCACACAGAAGCATTCTGAGAAACTTCTTTGTGATGTGTACATTCAACTCACTGATGTGAATCTATCTTTTGATTAGCAGTTTTGAAACTCTCTTTTTGTAGTATCTGCAGTTGTATATTTGGAGCCCTTTGAGACCTATGATGGAAAAAGAAATGCCTTCATATGAAAACTACACAGAAGTATTCTGAGAAACTCCTTTGTGATGTGTGCATTCAACTCACAGATTTGAACCTATCATTTGATTGAGCCATTTTGAAACTGTCTTTTTCTATTATCTGCAAGTGAATATTTCTAGCCTTTTGTGGCCTATTTTGGAAAAGGACATGCCTTCACATAAAAAACAAACAGAAGTATTCTGAGAAACTTCTTTGTGATGTGAGCATTCATCTCACAGAGATGAACCTTTCTTTTGATTGAGCAGTTTTGAAAGAATCTTTTTGAAGTATCTGCAAGTGAATATTTGGAGCACTTTGAGGCCTAATGTGTGGAAGAAATATCTTCACATAAAAACTACATAGAAGCTTTCTGAGAAACTTCTCTGTGTTGTGTGCATTCAACTCATGGAGTTGAACCTATTTTTTCATTGAACAGTTTTGAAACTCTTTTTGTAGAATCTGCAAGTGGATATTTGGAGCCATTTGTGGCCTATGGTGGAAATGGGAATATCTTCAACTAAAAACTACACAGAAGCATTCTGAGAAACTTCGTGGTGATGTGTGCATTCATCTCACAGAGATGAATCTTTCTTTTTCATTTAGCAGTTTTTAAACACTCTGTTTGTAGAATCTGCAAGTGGATAATTGGAGCACTTTGAGGCAAATAGTTGAAAAGAAAATATCTTCACATGAAATCTACACAGAAGCATTCCGAGAAACCTCTTCGTGAAGTGTGCTTTCATCTCACAGAGTTGAACCTTTCTTTTGATTGAGCAGTTTTGAAAAACTCTTTTTGTAGAATCTGCAAGTTGATATTTGGAGCGCTTAGGTTCCTATTGTGGAAAAGGAAATATCTTCACATAAAAGCTGCACAGAATCATTCTAAGAAAGTTCTGTGTGATGTGTGCATTCATCTCACAGTGTTAAACTTTTCTTTTCATTCAGCAGTTTTGAAACTTTCTTTTTGTAGAATCTGCAGGTGGATATTTGGAGCTCTTTGAGGCCTATGGTGGAAATGGAAATATCTTCACATAAAAACTACACAGAAGCATTATGAGAAACATCTTTGTTATCACAGAAGCATTCTGAGAAGCATATTTGTTAAGTGTGCATTAAACTAACAGAGTTGAAACTATCTTTCGATTGAGCAGTTTTGAATCTCACTTTTTGTAGAATCTGCAAGAGGATATTTGGAGCCCTTTGCGGCCTACAGTGGAAAAGGACATACCTTCACATAAAAACTACAAAAAAGATTTCTGAGGACATTCTTTGTCATGTGTGCCTTCATCTCACGGAGTTGAACCTTTCTTTTGATTGAGCAGTTTGGAAACACTTTTTTTGTAGTATCTAAAGTGGATGATTGGATCGCTTTGAGGCCTATGGTGGAAAAGGAAATATCTTCACATGAGAACTACACAGAAGCATTCTGAGAAACTTCTCTGCAATGTGTGCATTCAACTCACAAGTTTGAACCTATCTTTTGATTCAGCAATTTTGAAACTCTCTTTTTGTAGAATCCGCAAGTGGATATTTGGAACTATTTGCTACCTATTGTGGAAAAGGAGATATCTTCACATAAAAACTACAGAGAAGCATTCTGAGAAACTTCTTTGTGATTTGTGCATTCATCTCACAGAGTTGAACCTTTCTTTTGATTAAGCAGTTATGAAACAGTCTTTTTAAAGGATCAGCAAGTGGATATTTGGAGGACTTTTAGGCCTATTGTGTAAAAGGAGATATCTTCACATAAAAACTAAGCAGAACCATTCTGAGAAACTACTTTGCAATGTGTGCATTCATCTCACAGAGTTGAAACTTTCTTTTGATTGAGCAGTTTGGAAACACTCACTTTGTAGAATCTGCAAGTGGATATTTGGAGCGCTTTGTGGCCTATGGTGGAAATGGGTATACCTTCACATAAAAACTATGTGGAAGTATTCAGAGAAACTTCTTTCTGATGTGTGCATACAACTCACAGAGTTGAAACTTTCGTTTGGTTGAACAGTTTTGAAACTCTCTTTTTGTAGAATCTGCAAGTGGATATTTGGAGCCCTTTGTGGCCTATGGTGGAAAGGGAAATATTTTCACATAAAAACTACACAGAAGCCAACTGGCAAATGAGGTGGCAGTCAAGATGGCCAAATAGGAACAGCTCTGTTCTACAGCTCCCAGCATGAGTGACACAGAAGATGAATGATTTCCTCATTTCCATCTGAGATACCTGGTTCATCTCACTAGGGAGTGCCAGACAGTTGGCGCAGGATAGTGGGTGCAGTGCACCATGTGTGGGCAGAAGCAGAGTGAGGCATTTCCTCACTTGGGAAGTGCAAGTGGTTAGGGAGTTCCCTTTCCTAGTCAAATAAAGGGGTGACAGACGGCACCTGGGAAATCCAGTCACTCCCACACTAATACTGTACTTTTTCAATGGGCTTAAAAAATGGCGCACCAGGAGATTATATCCCACACCTTGCTTGGAGGGTCCTATGTCCACGGTGTCTCACTGATTGCTAGCACAGCAGTCTGTGATCAAACTAAAAGGTGGCAGTGAAGCTGGGGGTGGGGCACCCCCCATTGCCCAGGCTTGCTTAGGTAAACAAAGCTGCTGGAAAGCTCGAAGTAGGTGTAGCCCACCACAGCTCTAGGAGACCTGCCTTCCTCTGTAGGCTCCACCTCTGGGGGCAGGGCACAGACAAACAAAAAGACAGCAGTAACCTCTGCAGACTTAAATGTCCCTGTCTGACAGCTTTGAAGAGAGCAGTGGTTCTCCCAGCACACAGCTGGAGATCTGAGAATGGGCAGACTGCCTCCTCAAGTGGGTACCTGACCCCTGGACCCCGAGCAGCCTAACTGGGAGACACCCCTCAGTAGGGACAGACTGACACCTCACATGGCCGGGTAGTCCTCTGAGACAAAATTTCCAGAGCAAAGATCAGACAGCAGCATTCGTGGTTCATGAAAATCCGCTGTTCTGCAGTCACCGCTGCTGATACCCAGGCAAACAGGATCTGGAGTGGACCTCCAGCAAACTCCAACAGACCTGCAGCTGAGGGTCCTGTCTGTTAGAAGGAAAACTAACAAACAGAAAGGACATCCACACCAAAAACCCATCTGTATATCACCACCATAAAAGACCAAAATTAGATAAAACCACAATCATGGGGAAAAAACAGAGCAGAAAAACTAGAAACTCTAAAAACAGAGTGCCTCTCCTCCTCCAAAGGAATGCAGTTCCTCATAAGAAATGGAACAAAGCTGGACGGAGAATGACTTTGACGAGTTGAGAGAAGAAGGCTTCAGACAATCAAATTACTCAGAGCTACAGGAGGAAATTCAAACCAAAGGCAAAGAAGTTAAAAACATTGAAAAAATTTAGACGAATGTATAACTAGAATAACCAACACAGAGAAGTGCTTAAAGGAGCTGATGGAGGTGAAAGCCAAGGCTCCAGAACTACATGAAGAATGCAGAAGCCTCAGGAGCAGATGCGATCAACTGGAAGAAAAGGTATCAGTGATGGAAGTTGAAATAAATGAAATAAAGTGAGAAGGGAAGTTTAGAGAAAAAAGAATAAAAAGAAATGAACAAAGACTGCAAGAAATATGGGACTATGTGAAAAGACCAAATCTACGTCTGATTGGTGTACCTGAAAGTGATGTGGAGAATGGAACCAAGTTGGAAAACACTCTGCAGGATATTATCCAGGAGAACTTCCCCAATCTATCAAGGCAGGCCAACATTCAGATTCAGAAAATACAGAGAATGCCACAAAGATACTCCTCGAGAAGAGCAACTCCAAGACAAATAATTGTCAGATTCACCAAAGTTGAAATAAAGGAAAAAATGTTAAGGGCAGCCAGAGAGAAAGGTGGTGTTACCCTCAAAGGGAAGCCCATCAGACTAACAGCAGATCTCTTGGCAGAAACTCTACAAGCCAGATGAGAGTGTGGGCCAATATTCAACATTTTTAAAGAAAAGAATTTTCAACCCAGAATTTCATATCCAGCCAAAGTAAGCTTCATAAGTGAAGGAGAAATAAAATACTTTACAGACAATCAAATGCTGAGAGATTGTGTCACCACCAGGCCTGCCCTAAAAGAGCTCCTGAAGGAAGCACTAAACATGGAAAGAAACAACCAGTACCAGCCAGTGCAAAATCATGCCAAATTGTAAAGTCCACTGTGGCTAGTAAGAAACTGCATCAACTAACGAGCAAAATAACCAAAAAACATCATAACGACAGGATCAAATTCACACATAACAATATTAACTCTAAATGTAAATGGACTAAATGCTCCAATTAAACACACAGACTGGCAATTTGGATAAAGAGTCAAGACCCATCAATGTGCTGTATTCAGGAAACCCATCTCACATGCAGAAACAAACATAGGCTCAAAATGAAAGGATGGTGGAAGATCTACCAAGTAAATGGAAAACAAAAAAAGGCAGGGGTTGCAATCCTAGTCTCTGATAAAACAGACTTTAAATCAACAAAGATCAAAAGAGACAAAGAAGGCCATTACATAATAGTAAAGGGATCAATTCAACAAGAAGAGCTAACTATCCTAAATATATATGCACTCAACACAGGAGCACCCAGATTGTTAAAGAAAGTCCTGAGTGATGTACAAAGAGACTTAGACTCCCACACAATAATAAGTGGATAATATAACACCCCACTGTCAATATTAGACAGATCAACGAGACAAAAAGTTAACAAGGATACCCAGGAATTGAACTCAGCCCTGCACCAAGCGGACCTAATAGACATCTACAGAACTCTCCACCCCAAATCGAAAGAATATACATTTTTTTCAGCACCACACCACACCTATTCCAAAATTGACCACATAGTTGGAACTAAAGCTATCCTCAGCAAATGTAAAAGAACAGAAATTATAACAAACTGTCTCTCCGACCACAGTGCAATCAAACTGGAACTCAGGATTAAGAAACTCACTCAAAACCGCTCAACTACATGGAAACTGAACAACCTACTCCTGAATGACTACTGGGTACATAACAAAATGAAGGCAGAAATAAAGATGTTCTTTGAAACCAATGAGAACAAAGACACAACATACCAGAATCTCCGGGACACATTCAAAGCAGTGTGTAGAAGGAAATTTATAGCACTAAATGCCCACAAGAGAAAGCAGGAAAGATCCAAAATTGACACCCTAACATCACAATTAAAAGCACCAGAAAAGCAAGAGCAAACACATTCAAAAGCTAGCAGAATGCAAGAAATAACTAAAATCAGAGCAGAACTGAAGGAAATAGAGACACAAAAAACCCTTCAAAAAATTAGTGAATCCAGGAGCTTGTTTTTTGAAAAGATCAACAAAATTGATAGACCACTAGCTAGACTAATAAAGAAGAAAAGAAAGAAGAATCAAATAGACGCAATAACAAATGATAAAGTGAGTATCACCATTGATCCCACAAAAATACGAACTACCATCAGAGAATACTACATACACCTCTACACAAAAAAACTACAAAATCTAGAAGGAATGGATAAATTCCTAGACACATACACCCTCCCAAGACTAAACCAGGAAGAAGTTGACTCTCTGAATAGACCAATAAGAGGCTCTGAAATTGTGGCAATAATCAATAGCTTACCAACAAAAAGAGTCCAGGACCAGAAGGATTTACAGCCAAATTCTACCAGATGTACAAGGGGGAACTGGTACCATTCCTTCTGAAATTATTCCAATCAATGGAAAAAGAGGGAATCCTCCCAAACTCATTTTATGAGGACAGCATCATCCTGATACCAAAGCCGGGCAGAGACACAACAAAAAAACAAAATTTTAGACCAATATCCTTGATGAACATTGATGCAAAAATCCTCAATAAAATACTGGCAAACCGATTCCAGAAGCACATCAAAAAGCTTATCCAATATGATCAAGTGGGCTTCATCCCTAGGATGCAAGGCTGGTTCAATATATGCAAATCAATAAATGTAATCCAGCATATAAACAGAACCAAAGACAAAAACCACATGATTATCTCAATAGATGCAGAAAAGGCCTTTGACAAAATTCAACATCCCTTCATGCTAAAAACTCTCAATAAATTAGGTATTGATGGGACGTATCTCAAAATAATAAGAGCTAGCTATGACAAACCCACAGCCAATATCATACTGAATGGCCAAAAACTGGAAGCATTCCCTTTGAAAACTGGCACAAGACAGAGACGCCCTCTCTCACCAGTCCTATTCAACATAGTGTTGGGAATTCTGGCCAGGGCCATTAGGCAGGAGAAGGAAATAAAGGGTATTCAATTAGGAAAAGAGGAAGTCAAATTGTGCTCGTTTGCAGATGACATGATTGTATATCTAGAAAACCCCATTGTCTCAGCCCAAAATCTCCTTAAGCTGATGAGCAACTTCAGCAAAGTCTCAGGATACAAAATCAATGTGCAAAAATCACAAGCATTCTTATACACCAATAACAGACAAACAGAGCCAAATCAAGAGTGAACTCCCGTTTGCAATTGCTTCAAAGAGAATAAAATGTGTAGGAATCCAACTTACAAGGGATGTGAAGGACCTCTTCAAGGAGAACTACAAACCACTGCTCAATGAAATAAAAGAGGATATAAATATATGGAAGAACATTCCATGCTCATGGGTAGGAAGAATCAATATTGTGAAAATGGCCATACTGCCGAAGGTAATTTATAGATTCAATGCCATCCCCATCAAGCTACCAATGACCTTCTTCACAGAATTGGAAAAAAACTACTTTAAAGTTCATATGGAACCAAAAAAGAGACCGCATCAACAAGTCAATCTTAAGCCACAAGAACAAAGCTGGAGGCATCAGGCTACCTGACTTTGAACTATACTACAAGGCTACAGTAACCAAGACAGCATGGTACTGGTACCAAAACAGAGATATAGATCAATGGAACAGAACAGAGCCCTCAGAAATAACACTGCATATCTACAACTATCTGATCTTTGATAAACCTGAACAAAACAAGCAATGGGGAAAGGATTCCCTATTTAATAAGTGGTGCTGGGAAAACTGGCTAGCCATATGTAGAAAGCTGAAACTGGATCCCTTCCTTACACCTTATACAAAAATTAATTCAAGATGGTTTAAAAAGTTAAACGTTAGACCTAGAACCATAAAAATCCTAGAAGAAAACCCAGGCATTACCATTCAGGACATAGGCGTGGGCAAGGACTTCATGTCTAAAACACCAAAAGCAATGGCAACAAAAGCTATAATTGTCAAATGGGATCTAATTAAACTAAAGAGCTTCTGCACAGCAAAAGAAACTACCAGCAGAGTGAACAGGCAATGTACAAAATGGGAGATAGTTTTCACAACCTACTTATCTGACAAAGGGCTAATATCCAGAATCTACAATGAACTCAAACAAATTTACAAGAAAAAAAACAAACAATCCCATCAAAAAGTGGGTGAAGGACATGAACAGACACTTCCCAAAGAAGACATTTATGCAGCCAAAAACACATGAAAAAATGCTTATCCTTAACTGGCCATCAGAGAAATGCAAATGAAAACCACAATGAGATACCACCTCACACCATTTAGAATGGCAATCATTAAAAAGTCAGGAAACAACAGGTGTTGGAGAGGATGTGGAGAAATAGAAACACTTTTACACTTTTGGTGGGGCTGTAAACTAATTCAGCCATTGTGGAAGTCAGTGTGGCGATTCCTCAGGGATGTAGATCTAGAAATACAATTTGACCCAGACATCCCATTACTGGGTATATACCCAAGGACTATAAATCATGCTGCTATAAAGACACATGCACACGTATGTTTATTGCAGCACTATTCACAATAGCAAAGACTTGGAACCAACCCAAATGTCCAACAATAACAGAGTGGATTAAGAAAATGTGGCACATATACACCATGGAATACTATGGAGCCATACAAAAATGATGAGTTCATGTCTTTTGTAGGGACATGGATGAAATTGGAAATCATCATTCTCAGTAAACTATCGCTAGGACAAAAAACCAAACACTGCATGCTCTCACTCATAGGTGGGAATTGAGCGATGAGAACACATGGACACAGGAAGGGGAACATCACACACTGGGGACTGATGTGGGGTGGGGGTAGGGGGGAGGGAGAGCATTAGGAGATATACCTAATGCTAAATGACGAGTTAATGGATGCAGCACACCAACATGGCACATGTACACCTATGTAACTAACCTGCACAATGTGCACATGTACCCTAAAACTTAAAGTATAATAATAATAAAATCAATTAAATTTAAAAAAAAACTACACAGCAGTACTCTGAGAAACTTCTTTGTGATGAATGCAGGCAACTCTCAGAGTTGAACATATCTTTTGATTGAACAGTTTTGAAAATATATTTTTGTAGAATCTGGAAGTGGATATATGGAGCCCTTTGCGGCCTATAGTGCAAAAGGAAACATCTTCACATAAAACCTACACAGAAGCGTTCTGAGAAATTTCTTGGTGATGTGTGCATTCATCTCACAGAGTTGAATATTTCTTTTGATTGTGCAGCTTGAAATACTGTTTTTGTGGAATCCGCAAGTGGATACTTGGAGTGTTATGTGGCCTATTGTGGAAAACGAAATACCGTCACATAAAAACTTCACAGAAGCATTCTGAGAAACTTCTTTGTTATATGTGTATTCACCTCACAGAGTTGAACCTGTCTTTTTAAAGAGCAATTTTGAAACTGTCTTTTTGTAGAATCTGCAAGTGGATATATGGAACCCTTTGTGACCTATGGTGTAAAAGGAAATATCTTCACAAAAAAACTACACAGAAGCATTCTGAGAAACTTCTCTGTGAAGGGTTCATTCATCTCACAGACTTGAACCTTTCTTTTGATTGAGCAGTTTGGAAACTTTTTTTTGTAGAATCAGTAAGTGGATATTTGGAACGCTTAGGGGACTATTGTGGAAAAGGAAATATCTTCACATAAAAACTACACAGAAGCATTCTGAGAAGCTTCTTTGTGATGTGTGCATTCATCTGACAGAGTTGAAACTTTCTTTAAGCAGTTTGGAAACACTCTTTTTGTAGGATCTGCAAGTGGATATTTGGAGCCCTTTGAGGCTTATGGTGGAAAAGGAAATATCTTCAGATAAACACTACACAGGAGCATTCTGAAAAACTGCTTTGTGATGTGTGCATTCATCTCACAGAGTTGAATTTTTCTTTTGATTGAGCAGTTTTGAAACGCTCTTTTCGTGGAATGTGAAAGTGGATATTTGGAGGGTTTTGAGGCCTACGGTGGAAAAGGAAATGTCTTCACATAAAAACTACAAAGAAGGATTCTGAGAAACTTATTTGTGATGTGTGCAATCAACTCACAGACTTGAACATATCTTTGGATTGAGCAGCTTTGAAACTGTCTTTTTGTGCAATCTGCAAGTGGATATTTTGAGCCCTTTGTGGCCTATGGTGAAAAAGGAAATATCTTCAGATAAAACCTACAAAGAAGCATTCTGAGAAACTTCTTTGTGATGTGTACATTCATCTCACAGAATAGGAACTTTCTTTTGATTGAGCAGTTATGAAATACCCTTTTTGTAGAATGATCATGTGGATATTTTGAGGGCTTTGAGGCCTACTGTGGAGAAGTTAATATCTTCACATCAAAACTACTCAGAATCATTCTGAGAAACTTCTTTGCGATGTGCGAATTCATCTGACTGACTTCAACCTTTCTTTTGTTTGGGCAGTTTAGAAACACTCTTTTTATAGAATCTGCAAGTGAATATTTGGAGGGAATTGAGGCCTATGGCTGAAAAGGAAATATCTTTACATAAAAACTACACAAAAGCATTCTGAGAAACTTCTTTGTGATGTGTGCATTCAAATCACAGAGCTAAACCTATCTTTTGATTGACCAGTTTTGAAACTCTCTTTTGTAGAATCTGCAAGTGGATATTTGGAGTGCTTTGAGGCCTATTGTGGAAAAGAAAATATCCTCACATAAAAACTACACAGAAGCATTCTGAGAAACTTCTTTGTCATGTGTGCATTCATCTCAAGGAGTTGAACGTTTCTTTTGATTGTGCAGCTTGGAAACACTGTTTTTGTAGAATCCGCAAGTGGATATTTGGAGTGCTATGTGGCCTATGATGGAAAAGGAAATATCTTCACGTAAAAACTTCACAGAAGCATTCTGAGAAACTTCTTTGTTATGTTTGTATTCAAGTCACATAGTTGAACCTATCTTTTGATACAGCAGTTTTGAAACTCTCTTTTTGTAGAATCTGCAAGTGGATATTGGGAACCCTTTGCAGCCTATGGTGTAAAAGGAAATATCCTCACATAAAAACTACACAGAAGCATCCTGAGAAACTTCTTTGTGATGTGTGCATTCATCTCACAGAGTTGAACTTTTCTTTTGATTGTGCAGTTTGGAAACACTCCTTTTGTAGAATCTGTACGTGGATATTTGGAGGGTTTTGAGTCCTACGGTGGTAAAGAAAATGTCGTCACATGAAAAATACACAGAGGCATTCTGAGAAACTTCTTTGTGACGTGTGGATTCATCTCCCAGAGTTGAACCTATCGTTTGATTAAGAAGTTTTGAAACTCTCTTTTTGTAGAACCTGCAAGTGGATATTTGGAGCCATTTGCAGCCTCTGGTGTAAAAGGAAATATCTTCACTTTAAAACTACACAGAAACATTCTGAGAAACTTCTTTGTGACGTGTGCATTCATCTCACAGATTTGAAATTTTCTGTTGATTCAGCAGTTTTGAGACACTTTTTTTTTGTAGAATCTGCAGTTGGATATTTGGAGCGCTTTAAGGCCTATTGTGGAAAAGGAAATATCTCCACATAAAAACTATACAGAAACATTCTGAGAAACTTCTATGCGATGTGTGCATTCATCTGACAGAGTTGAACCTTTCTTTAGTTTGAGCAGTTTGGAAACACTCTTTTTGTAGAATCTGCAATTTAATACTTGGAGCACTTTGAAGACTACGGTGGAAAAGGAAATACCTTCACATAAAAACTACACAAAACTATTGTGACAAGCTTCTTTGTGGTGTGTGCATTCAACTCACAGGGTTGAACCTATCTTTCGATTGACCAGTTTTGAGACTCTCTTTTTGTAGAATCTGCAAGTGAATATTAGGAAATCCTTGTAGCCTATGGTGGAAAAGGAAATATCTTCACATAAAAACTACACAGAAGCATTCTGAGAAACTTCTTTGTAATGTGAGCATTCATCTCACAGATTTGCACCTTTATTTGATTGAGCAGTTTTGAATCTCACTTTTTTTATTTTCTGCAAGTGGACATATTGATCCGTTTGCAGCCTATGGTGGAAAAGGAAATATCTTCAAATAAAAACTACACAGAAACTTTCTGAGAAACTTCTTTGTGATGTGTGCATTCATCACAAAGAGTTGGACCTATCTTATTATTGAGCAGTTTTGAAACACTCTTTTTGCAGTATCTGCAAGTGGATATTTGGAGCACTTTGAGGCCCAGTTTGGGAAAGGAAATATCTTCACATAAAAACTACACAGCAGCATTCTGGGAAACTTCCTTGTGATGTGTGCATTCATCTCCCAGAGTTGAGCCTGTTTTTTGATTGAGCAGATCTGAAACACTCTTTTTGTAGAATCAGCAAGTGGATATTTGGTGGTCTTTGAGGCCTATTTTGGAAAAGGAAATATCTTCACAAAAAAACTACACAGAAGCATTCTGAGAAACTTCTTTGTGATGTGTGTATTCAACTCACAGTCTTCAACCTATCTTTTGATTGAGCAGTTTTGGTTCTCTCTTTTTCTAGAATCTGGAAGTGGATATTTGGAGCCTCTTGCGGTCTATGGAGGCAAAGGAAATATCTTCAAATAAAAACTACAGAGAAGAATTCTCAGAAATTTCTAGGTTCTATTTGCATTCATCTCACAGAGTTGAACCTTTCTTTTGATGGAGGAGTTTTGAAACACTCCTTTTGTAGATTCTGCAAGTGGATATTTGGTGCGCACTGAAGTCTATTGTCGAAAAGGCAATATCTTCACATAAAAACTACACAGAAGCATTCTGAGAAACTTCTTTTTGATGTGTGCATTCATCTCACATAGTTGAACCTTTCTTTTCATTGAGAAGTTTTGAAACACAGTTTTTGTAGGATCTGCAAGTGGATATTTGGAGAGATTTGAGGTCTACTTTGTAAAAGCAATTATCTTCACATAAAAACTACACAGAAGCATTCTGTGAAAATTTTGTGATGTGTGCATTCATCTCACACAGTTGAAACATTATTTTGATTGAGCAGTTTTGAAACACTCTTTCTATAGAATCTGCAATTGGATATTGTGAGCATTTTGAGGCCTATAGTGGAAAAGGAAATATCTTCACATAAAAACTACACAGAATCATTCTGAGAAACTGCTTTGTGATGTGTGCATTCATCTCTCAGAGTTGAATCTATGTTATGGTTTAGCAGTTTTCAAACACTCTCTTTGTAGAATCTACAAGTGGATCCTTGGAAAGATTTGAGGCATATTGTGGAAAAGGAAATATGTTCACATAAAAACTACACAAAAGCATTCTGAGAAAGTTCTTTGTGATGTGTGCATTCAACTCACAGAGTCTAATCTGTCTTTTGATTGAGCAGTTTTTAAATACTGTTTTTGTAGAATCTGCAAGTGGATATTTTGTGGACTTTGAGGCCTATTTTGGAAAAGGAAATATCTTCACATAAAAACTACACAGAAGCATTCTGAGAAACTTCTTTGTGATGTGTTCATTCAACTCACAAACTTGAACCTATATTTCGATTAAGCAGTTATGGATTTCTCTTTTTCTAGGATTTGGAAGTGGATATTTTGAGTCCTTTGTGGTTCATGGAGGCAAAGGAAATATCTTCAAATAAAATCTACACAGAAGCATTCTGAGAAACTTCTTTGTGATGTGTGCATTCATCTCACTGAGATGAACCTATCTTATGTCTGAGCAGCTTTGAAACACTCTCTTTGCAGAATCTTCAGGGGAATATTTGGAGTGCTTTGTGGCCAGTTGGGTAAAAGGAAATAGCTTCACATAAAACCTACACAGAATTATTCTGAGCAACTACTTTGTGATGTGCGTATTCATCTAACAGAGCTGTATGTTTCTTTTGGTTGAGCAGTTTTGAAACACTGTTTTTATAGAATCTGCAAGTGGATATTTGGAATGCTTTGAGGCCTACTGTGGAAAAACAAATATCTTCATGTAAAAACCACACAGAAGCATTCTGAGAAACATCTCTGTGATGTGTGCATTCATCCCACAGAGTTGAAAGTTTCTTTTGATTGAGAACTTTTGAAACACACTTTTTGTAGAATCTGCAAGTGGATATTTGAAGCCCTTTGCAGCCTATGGAGGAAAAGGAAATATCATGAAATAAATACTACACAGAAGCATTCTGAGAAACTTCTTTGTGATGTGTGCATTCATCTCATAGATTGGAACCTATCTTATGATTGAGCAGTTTTGAAACACTCTCTTTGTAGAATCTGCAAGTGGAAACTTGGACGATTTTAACCCTATAGTGGAAAAGGAAATATCTTCACATAAAAACTTCACAGAAGCATTCTGAGAAACTTCTTTGTGATGTGTGCATTCGTCTCACAGAGATGAATATTTCTTTTGATTGTGCAGTTTTGAAACACTGTTTTTGTAGAATCTGCAACTGGATATTTGGAGCCCTTTGCGGTCTATATGAAAAAAGGAAATATCTTCAGATAGAAACTACACAGAAACATTGTGAGAAACTTCTTTGTGATGTGTGCATTCATCTCACAGAGTTGAACTTTTCTTTTGATGGAGAAGTTTTGAAACACTCTTTTTGTAGAAACTGCAAGTTGCTATTTGGAGCCCTTTGCGGCATATGGTGAAACAGGGAATACCTTCACATAAAAACTACACAGAAACATTCTGAGAAACTTCTTTGTGATGTGTGCATTACTCTCACAGAGTTGAACCATTCTTTTGATTGAGCAGGTTTGAAACAATCTCTTTGTAGAATCTGCAAGTGGATACTTGGAATGCTTTGAGGCCTATTGTGGAAAAGGAAATATCTTCACATAGAAACTACACAGTAGAATTCAGTGAAACTTCTTTGTGATGTGTGCATTCAACTCACAGAGTTGAACATTTCTTTTGATTGACCAGTTTGGAAACATTCTTTTTGTAGAAACTGCAAGTGGATATGTGGAGCCTTTTGTGGCCTAAGGTGGAAAAGGAAATATCTTCACATAAAAACTACACAGAAGCATTCTAACAAACTCCCTTGTGATGTGTGCATTCATCTGACAGAGTTGAACCTTTATTTTGATTGAGCAGTTTTGAAAAACTCTTTTGTAGAATCTGCAAGTGGATCTTTGGAGAGCTTTGAGCCTATTGCAAAAAAGAAAATATCTTCACATAAAAACTACACAGAAGGAGTCTGAGATAATTTTTGTGATTGTGCATTCATTTCACCTTTCTTTTGACTATGCAGTTTGGAAATACTCTTTTAGGGTGATCTGCAAGTGGATATTTGCAGTGCTAGGAGGCATATTGAGGAAAAGGAAATATCTTCCCATAAAAAATACACAGAAGCATTCTGAGAAACTTATTTGTGATGTGTGCATTCAACTCTCGGAGTTGAACCTATCTTTTGATAAGCAGTATTGAAACACTTTTTTTTTGGAATCTGCAGGTGGATATTTGGAGCGCTTTGAGGCCTATGGTGTAAAAGGAAATATCTTCACATAAAAACTACACAGAAGCATTCAAAGAAACTTCTTTGTGATGTGAGCATTCAACTCACAGAGTTGAACTTAACTTTTTATTGAGGAGCTTTGAAAATCTCTTTTTGTAGAATCTGCAAGTGGATATTTAGAGCCCCTTGCTGCCTGTGGTGGAAAAAGAAATATCTTCACATAAAAACTTCACAGAAGCATTCTGAAAAAAACTTCTTGGTGATGTGTGCATTCATATCACAGAGTTCAACATTTCTTTTGATTGAGCTGTTTTGAAACACTATTTTTGTAGAATCTGCAAGTGGATATTTGGAGCACTTTGAGGCCTATTGTAGAAAAGGAAATATCTTCACATGAAAACAACACAGAAACATTCTGACAAATTTCTTTGTGATGTGTGCGTTCATCTCACAGAGTTGAACTTTTCTTTTGATTGAGCAGTTTTCAAACACTGTTTTTGTAGTATCTCTAAGTGGATATTTTGAGCGCATTGGGGTCTATGGTGGAAAAGGATATATCTTCACATAAAATCTACACAGAAGCATTCTGAGAAACTTCTTTCTGATGTGTGTATTCAAACCACAGATTTGAACCTATCTTTTGATTGCACAGTTTTCAAACTCTCTTTTTGTAGAATCTGCAAGTGGATATTTGGAACCTTTTTTGGCCTCTGGTGGAAAAGGAAATAACTTCACATAAAAACTACACAGAAGCATTCTGAGAAACTTCATTGTCATGTGTGGATTCATCTCAGAGTGTTGAACCTTTCTTTTCACTGAGCACTTTTGAAACAGTCTTTTTGTAGAATCTGCAAGTGGATATTTGGAGCCCCTTGAGTCCTACTGTGGAAAAGAAAATATCTTTACATAAAAACATCACAGATGCATTCTGAGAAACTACTTTGCAAGGTGCGCATTCATCTCACATAGTTCAACTTTCTTTTGATTGAGCAATTTTGAAACACACTTTTTGTAGAATCTGCAACTAGATATTTGGAGTGCATTGAGGCCTATGGTGGAAAAGGAAATATCTTCACTTAAAGCTACACAGAAGCATTCTGAAAAACTTCTTTGTGAAATGTTCGTTCAACACACTGTGGTGAACATTTCTTTTCATTGAGCAGTTTTGAAAACCACTATTTGTAGAATCTGCAAGTGGATATTTGTAGTGCTTAGAGGCCTATTGTGGAAAAGGAAATATCTTCACATAAAAATTACACAGAAGCATTCTGAGAAACTTGTTTGTGATGAGTGCATTCAGCTCACAGAGTTGAACCTATCTTTTGATAGAGCAATTTTGAAACTCTCTTTTTGTAGAATCTGCAAGTGGATATTTGGAGCCCTTTGTGGCCTATGGTGGAGAAGGAAATATCTTCACATAAAAACTACACAGAAGCATTCTGAGAAATGTCTTTTTAAGTGTTCATTCATGTCACAGAGCGCTTTGAGGCCCATTGTGGAAAAGGATATATCTTCACATAAAAACTACACAGAAGCATTCTGAGAAACTTCTGTGTAATATGTGCATTCATCTCCCAGAGTTGTAACTTTCTTTTGATTGAGCAGTTTGGAAACACTCTTTTAGTAAAATCTACAAGTGGATACTTGGAGCGCTTTGAGGCATATTGTAGAAATGGAAATATCTTCACATAACAACTAAACAGAAGCATTCTGAGAAACTTCTTTGAGATGTGTGCATTTAACTCAGAGTTGTATCTATCTTTTGATAGAGGAGTTTTGAAACTCTCTTTATGTAGAATCTGTAAGGGAATATTTGGAGCCCTTTGTGGCCTATGGTGTAAAAGGAAATACCTTCACATAAAAACTACACAGAAGCATTCTGAGAAACTTCTTTGTGTTGTGTGCATTCATCTCAAAGAGATGAACCTTTAATTCGATTGAACAGTTTTGAAACACTCTTTTTGTAGAATCTGCAAGTGGATATTTGGAACGCTTTGGAGAGAATGGTGGAAATGGATATATCTTCATATAAAAACTACGGAAAAGCATTCTGAGAAACGACTTTGTGATGTGTGTATTCAAATCACAGCGTTGAACCATTCTTTTGATTGTGCAGTTTTGAAACTCTTTTTGTGGAATCTGCAAGTAGCTACTCGGAGGTCTTTGTGGAGTATTGTGGAAAAGGAAATAACTTTGCATAAAAGCTACACAGACACATTCTGGGAAACTTCTTTGTGATGTGTGCATTCAACTCACAGAGTTGAACCTTTCTTTTGATTGAGCAGTTTTGAAACACACTTTTTGTTGAATCTGCAAGTGGATATTTGGAGAGGTTTGGGACTTATGGTGGAAAAGTAAATATCTTCACATAAAAACTGCACAGAGGTATTCTGAGAAACTTCCCTCTGATGTGCACATTCAGCTCACTGAATTGGACCTTTCCTTTGATTGAGCAGTTTTGAAACACTCTTTTGTAGAATCTGCAATTGGATATTTGAAGCGCTTTCCAGCCTCGAGTGGAAAAGGAAATATCTTCACATAAAAACTATACAGAAATATTCTGCGAAACTTCTTTGTGATGTGTGCATTCTTCTCACAGAGTTGAACTTTTCTTTTGATTGAGCAGTTTTGAAACACTCTTTTTGTAGAATCTGCAAGTGGATATTTGGAGCACTTCCAGTCCTACGGTGTTAAAGGAAATATCTTCACATCAAAACTAGACAGAAGCACTCTGAGAAACTTCTTTGTGATGTGTACATTCAACTCACAGGTTTGAACCTTTCTTTTGATTAAGCAGTTTTGAAACACACTTTTTGTAGAATCTGAAGGTGGATATTGGGAGCACTTTGGGGCCTATGGTGTAAAAGAAAATATCTTCAAATAAAAACTGGACAGAATCACTCTGAGAAACAACTTTGTGATGTGTGCATTCATCTCACTGAGTTGAACGTTTCTTTTGATTGAGTAGTTTTGAAACGCACATTTGTAGACTCTACCAGGGGATATTTGGAGTACTTTGGGGTCTATGGTGGAAAAGGAAATATCTTCACCTAAAAACTAGACGGAAGCATTGTGAGAAGCTTCTTTGTGATGTGTGCATTCAACTAACACAGTTGAACCTTTCTTTTGATTGAGCAGTTTTGAAACACTCTTTTTGAAGAATCTGCAAGTGGATATTTGGAGCGCTTTGCAGCCTATTGTGGAAAAGGATATATCTTCAAATAAAAACTAGACAGAAGCACTTTGAGAAACTTCTTTATGAGATGTGCATTCATCTCGCAGACTTGATCCTTTCTTTCGATTGAGCAGTTTTGAAACACTATTTTTGTAGAATCTGCAAGGGATATTTGAAGAGATTTGAGGCCTAATGTGGAAAAGGAAATATCTTCACATGAAAACTAGACAGAAGCATTCTGAGAATCTTCTTTGTGATGTGTGCATTCATCTTACAGAGCTGAAACTTTCTTTTGATTCAGCAGTTTTGAAATACTCTGTTTATGGAATCTGCTTGTGGATTTTTGGAGCAATTTGAGTCACGTTGTGGAAAAGGAAATATTGTCATATGAAAACTAGAAAGAAGCATTCTGAGAAAATTATTTGTGATGTGTGCATTCAACTCACAGAGTTGAAAGTTTCTTTTGATTGAGCAGTTTGGAAACACTGTTTTTGCAGAATCTGCAAGTTGATATTTGTAGCGCTTGGTGGCCTATATTGGAAAAGGAAATATCTTCACATATATACAAGACGGAAGCATTCAGGGAAACTACTTTGTGATGTGCATTCAATTCAAAGAGCTGAACATTTACCCTGATTGAGCTGCTTGGAAAGCATCTTTCTGTAGTATCTGCAATTGGACATTTTGAGCGCTTTGAGGCCTATGGTGGAAAAGGAAATATCTTCACATAAAAACTAGACAGAAGCATTCTGAGAAAATTCTTTGTGATGTGTGCATTCAACTCACAGAGTTGAACCTTTCTTTTGATCGAGCAGTTTGGAAGCAGTCTTTTTGTAATATCTACCAGTGGATATTTGGATCACTTTACATCATGGATTGGAAAAGGAAACATCTTCACATAAAAACTAGACAAAAGCATACTGAGAAACTTCTTTGTGATGTGTCCATTCATCTCGTAGAGTTAAATCTTTCTTTTGATAGAGCAGGTTTGAAACACTCTTTTTGTAGGTTCTGCAAGTGTATATTTGGAGTGCTCTGTGGCCGATAGTGGAAAAGGAAATATCTTCACATAAAAAAATACACAGAAGCACTCTGAGAAACTTCTCGGTGTTGTGTGCAGTCATATCACAGACTTGAAACTTTCTTTGATACAGCAGTTTCAAAACGCTTTTTGGAGATTCTGAAAGTAGATATTTGGAGAGACTTGGGGCCTATGGTGGAAAAGGAAATATCTTCACATAAAAACTAGACAGAAGCATTCTGAGAAGCTTCTTTGTGATATGTGCATCCATCTCAAAGAGTTGAACCTTTCTTTTGATTGAGCATTTTTGAAGCACTCTTTTTGTAGAATCTTCAAGTGGATATTTGGAATGCTTTGTGGCCTGTGGTGGAAAAAGAAATATCTTCACATAAAAACTAGACAGAAGCATTCTGAGAAACTTATTTGTGATGTGCTCATTCAACTCACAGATTTAAACTTTTCTTTTGATTGAGCAGTTTGGAAACAGTCTTTTTGTAGTACCTGCAAATGGATATTTGGAGTGCTTTGGGGCCTGTGGTGGAAAAGGAAATATATACACACGAAAACTAGACAGAAACATTATGAGAAACTGCTCTGTGATGCGTGCATTCATCACCAGGGTTGAACCTTTCTTTTGATTGAACAGTTTTGAAACACTCTTTCTGTAGAATCTGAAGGGGATATTTGGAACGCCTTGCAGCCTATGGTGAAAAACGAAATATCTTCACATAAAAACTAGACAGAAGCATTCTGAGAAAGTGCTTTGTGAGGTGTACATTCATCTCACAGAGTTAAACCTTTCTTTTGATTGAGCAGTTTTGAAACACTCTTATTGTACAATCTTCAAGTGGATATTTGGAGAGTTTGAGGCCACTGGTGGAAAAGCAAATATCTTCACATAAAAACTAGACAGAACCATTCTGAGAAATCTCTTTGAGATGCGTGCATTCAACTCACAGAGTTGGACCTTTCCTTTGATTGAGCAGTTTGGAAACAGTCTTTTTGCAGTATATGCAAATGGATATTTGGAGCACTTTCAGGCCTATAGTAGGAAAGGAAATATCTTCACATAAAAACTAGACAGAAAATTACTGAGAAATTTCTCAGTGATGTGTGCATTCATCTCACAGAGTTGAAACTTTCTTTTGATTGAGCAGTTTGGAAACACTCTTTTAGTAGAAACTGCAAGGGGATATTTGGAGCACTTTGTGGTCTTTGGTAGAAAAGGATATATCTTCACATTAAAAATAGACAGAAGCATTCTGAGGAACTTCTTCATGATGTGTGCATTCATCTCAGAGAGTTGAACTTTTCTTTTGATTGAGCAGCTTTGAAAAACTCTTTCTGCAGAATCTGCAAGTTGATATTTGGAGTGCTTTGGGGCCTATAGTAGAAAAGGAAATATCTTCACATAAAACTAGACAGAAGCATTCTGAGAAACCTCTTTGTGATGTGTGCATTAATGTCACAGAGTTGAACCTTTCTTTTGTTTGAGCAGTTTTGAAACTCTCTTTTTGTAGAATCTTCAAGTGAATATTTTTAGCACTTTGAGGCCTGTGGTGGAAAAGAAAACATCTTCACATAAAAACTAGTCAGAAGCTTTCTGAGAAACTTCTTTGTGATGTGTGCATTCAACTCATGGAGTTGAACCTTTCCTTTGATTCAGCAGTTTGGAAACAGTCTTTTTGTAGTATCTGCAAATGGATATTTGGAGAGCTTTGAGGCCTATGGTGGAAAAGAAAATATCTTCACATAAAAACTAGACAGAAGCATTCTCAGAAACTTCTTTGTGATGTGTGCATTCATCTCACAGAGCTCACAGAGTTGAACCCTTTTTTTTTTATTGTACTTTAAGTTTTAGGGTACATGTGCACATTGTGCAGGTAAGTTACATATGTATACATGTGCCATGCTGGTGCACTGCACCCACTAACGTGTCATCTAGCATTAGGTATATCTCCCAATGCTATCCCTCCCCCCTCCCCCGACCCCACCACAGTCCCCAGAGTGTGATATTCCCCTTCCTGTGTCCATGTGATCTCATTGTTCAATTCCCACCTATGAGTGAGAATATGCGGTGTTTGGTTTTTTGTTCTTGCGATAGTTTACTGAGAATGATGGTTTCCAATTTCATCCATGTCCCTACAAAGGACATGAACTCATCATTTTTTATGGCTGCATAGTATTCCATGGTGTATATGTGCCACATTTTCTTAATCCAGTCTATCATTGTTGGACATTTGGGTTGTGAACCCTTGTTTTGATTGAGCAGTGTTGAAACACTTTTTATAGAATCAGCAAGTGGATATTTGTTGCACTTTGAGACCTATGGTGGAAAAGGAAATATCTTCACAGAAAAACCACAAAGAAGAATTCTGAGAAACACCTTTGTGGTGTGTGGTTTCATCTCTCATATTTGAACCTTTCTCTTTATTGAGCAGTTTGGAAACAATCTTTTTGTAGTATCTGCAAATGAATTTTTGGAGCTCTTTGAGGCCTGTGGTGAAAAATGAAGTATCCTCACATAAAAACCAGACAGAAGGATTCCTAGAAACTGCTTTGTGATGTGTGCATTAATCTCACAGATTTGAAACTTTATTTTGATTGAGCAATTTTGAAACACTCTTTATGTAGAATCTGCAAGTGGATATTTGGAGCGCTTTGAGGCCTATGGTGGAATAGGAAATATCTTCACATTAAAACAGGACGGAAGCATTCTGAGAAACTTCTTTGTGTTGTGTGCATTCATTTCACAGAGTTGAACCATTCCTTTGATTGAGCAGTTTGCCAACTGTCATTTTGTAGAATCTACAGAGGGATATTTGTGAACCCATTAATGCCTATGGGGTGATAGGAAAGATCTTCATATAAAAACTAGAGAGAAACTTTCTGAGAAACTTCTTTGTGATGTGTGCATTCATCTCACAGAGTTGAACTTTTCTTTTGATTGAGCAGTTTGGAAACAGTCTTTTTTGGAATCTGCAAACAGATACTTTTTTTTGCTTTGAGGCCTATGGCGGAAAAGGAAATATCTTCACATAAAAACTAGACAGAAGCATTCTGAGAAACTTCTTTGTGATGTGTGCACTCATCTCACAGACTTGAAGCTTTCTTTTGATTGAGCAGTTTTGAAAAACTCTTTTTGTAGAATCTGCAAGTCGATATTTGGAGCGTTTTGTGTCCTATATTGGAAAAGGTAATATCTTCACATAGAAACTTGACAGAAGCATTCTGAGAAACTTCTTTGTGATATGTGCATTCATCTCACAGGATTTAACTTTCTTTTGATTGAGCAGTTTGGAGCCCATCGTTTTGTAGGATCTGTGAAGGGGTATTTTTGTTCCCATTGAGGCTTATGGGGTAATAGGAAATATCTTCACATAAAAACTAAACAGAAAAATTCTGAGAAAATTCTTTGTGATATGTGCTTTCATCTCACAGAGTTGAAATTTTGTTTTGATTGGGCAGTTTGGAATCCGTCTTTTTGTAGAATCTGCAAGTGGATATTTGGAGGGCTTTGAGACCTATGGTGAAAAAGGAAATATCTTCACATTAAAAATATACAGAAGCATTCTGAGAAACTTCTTTGTCTTGTGTGCATTAATTTCGCAGAGTTGAACCTTTGTATTGATTGAGCAGTTTGGAAACGGTAGTTTTGTAGAATCTGTAGAGGGATATTTTTCAGCCTACTGAGGCCTCTGAGGAAATAGAGAATATCTTCAGATAAGAACCAGACAGAAGCATTCTGAGAAACTTCCTTCTGGTGTGTGCATTCATTTCACAGAGTTGAACCTTTCTTTTGATTGAGCAGTTTGGAAACAGTGTTTCTGTAGTAACTGCAAATGGATATTTGGAGTGCTTTGAGGCATACGTTTAAAAAGGAAAAAAAACAAACCAACAACCCCTTCAAAAAGTGGGCGAAGGACATGAACATACACTTCTCAAAAGAATATGTTTATGCAGCCAAAAAACACATGAAAAAATGCCCACCATCACTGGCCATCAGAGAAATGCAGATCAAAACCACAAGGAGATACCGTCACACACCAATTAGAATGGCAATCATTAAAAAATCAGGAAACAACAGGTGCTGGAGAGGATGTGGAGAAATAGGAACACTTTTACTCAGTGGGTGGCACTGTAAACTAGTACAACCATTGTAGAAGTCCGTGTGGTGATTCCTCAGGGATCTAGAACTAGAAATACTATTTGACCCAGCCATCCCATTGCTGGGTATATAACCAAAGGACTATAAATCATGCTGCTATAAAGACACATGCACACATATGTTTATTGTGGCACTAGTCACAACAGCAAAGAGTTGGAACCAACCCAAATGTCCAACAATGATAGACTTGATTAAGAAAATATGGCACATATACACCATGGAATACTATGCAGCCATAAAAATGATGAGTTCATGTCCTTTGTAGGGACATGGATGAAATTGGAAATCATCATTCTCAGTAAACTATCGCAAGAACAAAAGACCAAACACTGCGTATTCTCACTCATAAGTGGGAATTGAACAATGAGAACACATGGACACAGGAAGGGGAACGTCATACTCTGGGGACTGTTGTGGGGTGGGGTGAGGGGGCAGGGATAGCATTAGGAGATATACCTAATGCTAAATGACGAGTTAATCGGTGCAGCACACCAGCGTGGTACATGTATACATATGTAACTAACATGCACATTGTGCACATGTACCCTAAAACTTAAAGTATAATAATAATAAAATAATAAATAAATAAATAAATAAAAAGGAAATATATTCACATAAAAACTTGACAGAAGCACTCTGAGGAACTTCTTTGTCATGTGTGCATTCATTTCACAGAGTTGAAACTTTCTTTTGATTGAGCAGTTTTGAAACACTCTTTTTTCAGAATCTGCAACTGGATATTTGGAGAACGTTGAGGCCTATGGTGGAAAAGGAAATATCTTCACAAAAAATCAGACACAACCATTCAGAGAAACTTCTTTGTGATGTGTGCATTCAACTCCCTGTGTTGAAGTTTTCTTTTGATTGAGTAGTTTTAACAAACTCTTTTTGTAGTATCAGAAACTGGATATTTGTAGCGTTTTGAGGCCTATAGAGGAAAAGGAAATATCTTCACATAAAACCCAGAAAGAAGCATTCTGAGAGAATTCTCTTCGATTTCAGCATTCATCTCACAGAGTTGAACTTTTCTTTTTTGAAAAGTATTTAATCACTCTTTTTGTAGAATCTGCAAGGGGATATATGGAGCACTTTGAGGCCTTTTGTGGAAAAGGTAATATCTTCACATAAAAATCAGACACAAGCATTCTGAGTAACTTCTTTGTGATGTGTGCATTCAACTCCCTGTGTTGAAACTTTCTTTTGATTGAGCAGTTTTAACGCACTCTTTTTGTAGAATCTGCAAGTGGATATTTGGAGCACTTTGATGCCTATGATGGAAAAGGAAATATCTTCACATAAAAGCTAGACAGAAGCATTCTGAGAATGTTCTTTGTGATGTATGCATTCATCTCACTGAGCTGAATCTTTCTTTTTTGAGAAGTATTTAAACACTCTTTTTGTAGAATCTGCAAGTGGATACTTGGAGTGCTTTGAGGCCTTTGGTGGAAAAAGAAATATCTTCACATAAAAACTAGACAGAAGCATTCTGAGAAACCTCTTTGTGATGTGTACATTCATCTCACAGAGTTGAGCCTTTATTTTGATTTAGCAGTTTGGAAACACTCTTTTTGTAGGATCTGCAAGTGGATATTTGGAGTGATTTGAGGCCTATAGTGGAAAAGGAAATAACTTCATGTGAAAAGTAGACAGAAGCATTCTGAAAAACTTCTTAGCGATGTGTGCATTCATCTCACAAAGGTAAACCTATCTTATGATTGAGCAGTTTTGAAACACTCTTTTTGTGGAATCTTCAATTGGATATTTGGAGTGCTTAGATGCCTGTGTTGGAAAAGGAAATATCTTCACGTAAAAACAAGCAAGGAGAATTCTGAGAAAGTTTTCTTTGTGATTTGTGCATTCATCTCACAGAGCTGAAATTTTCTTTTGATTGAGCAGTTTGGACACAGTCTTTTTCTCGCCTGCAAAAGGATATTTAGGGCACTTTGAGGCCTATGGTGAAAAAGGAAATATCTTCCCCTAAAAACTAGGCAGAAGCATTCTGAGAAACTTCTTTGTGATGTGTGTATTCATGTCACAGAGATGAAACTTTCTTTTGGTTGAGAAGTTTTGAAAAACTCTTTCGTAGACTGTGCAAGTGGATATTTGGAGCGCTTTGAGGCCTATGGTGGAAAAGGAAATATCTTCTCATAAAAACTAGACAGAAGCATTCTGAGAAATTTCTTTGTGATGTGTGCATTCATCTCACGAAGTTGAACCATTCTTTTGATTGAGCAGTTTTGAAACACACTTTTTGTAGTATCTTCAAGTGGATATTTGTAACTCTTTGAGGCCTATGGTAGAAAAGGAAACATTGTCACATAAAAACTAGTCAGAAGCATTCTGAGAAACTTCTGCCTGATGGGTGTATTCACTTCACGGAGTTGAACCTTTCCTTGTATTGAACAGTTTGGAAACAATCGTTTCGTAGAATCTGCAGAGGGATATTTTTGAGCCCATTGAGACGTATGGGGTGATAGGAAATATCTTCACATAAAAACTAGACAGAAACTTTCTGAGAAACTTCTTTCTGATGTGTGCTTTCATCTCACAGATTTGAACTTTTATTTTGATTGAGCAGTTTTGAAACAGTCTTTTTGTACAATCTGCAAGTGGATATTTGGGGCACTTTCAGGCCTATGGTGGAAAGGGACACATCTTCCCATAAAAACTAGACAGCAGCATTCTGAGAAACTTATTTGTGATCTGCGCATTCATCTCACAGAGTTGAACCTTTCTTTTGATTCAGCAGTTGTGAAACTGTAGTTTTGTAGAATCTGCAAAGGGATATTTGTGAGCCCATTGAGGCTTCTGGGGAGATAGGAAATATCTTCACATAAAAACTAGACAGATACTTTCTGAGAAACTATTTTGTCATGTGTGACTTCATCTCACCAGGTTGAAACTTTCTCTTGATTGAGCTGTTTGGGACCAGTCTTTTTGTAGAATCTGCAAATGGATATTTGGAGCACTTTTGGCCTATGTTGAAAAATGAAATATCTTCCCATAGAAACTAGGCAGAAGCTTTTGGAGAAATTTCTTTGTGATGTGTGCCTTCATCTCACACAGTTGAACTGGTTCTTTTGATTGAGCAGTGTGGAAACACTCTTTTTGTAGAGTCTGCAAGTGGATATTTTAAGCACTTTGTGGCCTATAGTGAAAAAGGAAATATGCTCACGTAAAAACTAGACAGAAGAATTCTGAGAAACTTCCTTTGAATGTGCGCATTTATCTCACAGTGTTGAACCTTTTTTTGATTGAGCAGCTTCTAAACAGTCATTTTGTAGAATATGCAAAGGAATATTTTTGAGCCCATTGATGCCTCTGGGGAAATAGGAAATATCTTCAAATAAAAACTAGACAGAATCTTTCTCAGAAACTTCTTTGTGATGTGTGCATTCATCTCACTGAGTTGAACTTTATTTTGAATGAGCAGTTTGGAAACAGTCTTTTTGTAGTATCTGCAAATGGATATTTTAAGCTCTCTGAGGCCTACGGTGAAAAAGGAAATATCTTCAATATAAATCAGACAGAATTATTCATAGAAACTTCTTTTTGATATGTGCATTCATCTCACAGATTAGAACTTTTCTTTTGATTGAGCAGTTTTGAAACACTCTTTTAGCAGAATCTGCAATGTATGTTTGAAGCACATGAGGAATATGGTGGAAAAGGAATCTTCTTCACATAAAAACGAGACAGAAACATTCTGAGAAACTTTTCTGTGATGGGCGCATTCATTTCACAAAGTTAAACCGTTCCTGTGATTGAATGGTTTGGAAACATTTGTTTTGTATAATCTGCAGAAGGATATTTTTGAGCTGATTGAGGCCTATGGGGCGATAGGAAATATGTTCACATAAAAACTAGACAGAAAATTTCTGAGACACTTCTTTGTGATATTTGCTTTCATCTCACAGAGTTAAAACTTTCTTTTGATTGAGCAGTTTGGGAAAAGTCTTTTTGTAGTATCTGGAAATGGATATTACCAGTGCTTTGACACCTATGGTGAAAAAGGAAATATCTTCCCATAAATACAAGGCAGAAGGATTCTGAGAAACTTCTTTGTGATGTCTGCATTCATCTCACAAAGTTGAACCTTTCTTTTGATTGAGCAGTTTTGAAACACTCTCTTTGTAGTATCTGCAAGTGGATATTTGGAACACTTTGAGGCCTATAGTGGAAAAGGAAATATCTTCACATAAAAAACTAGAAAGAAGAGTTCTGAGAAACTTCCTAGGAATGTGTGCTTTCTTCTCACACTGTTGAACCTTTCTTTTGATTGAGCAGCTTCGATACAGTCATTTAGTAGAATCTGAAAGAGAATATTTGCGAGCCCATTGAGGCCTCTTGGAAAGTAGGAAATATCTTCACCTAAAAACTAGACAAAAACTTTCTGAGCAACTTCCTTGTGATGTGTGCATTTATCACACGCAGTTGAACTTTCTTTTGATTGAGCAGTTTGGAAACAGTCATTTGTATTATCTATAAATGGATATTTGGAGTGTAATGAGGCCTATGGTGAAAAAGGAAATATCTTCACATAAAAATCAGATGGAAGCATTCTTAGAAACTTCTTTGTGATGTGTACATTCATCTCACAGACTTCAATCTTTCTTTTGATTGAGCAGTTTTGAAACACTCTTTTTGCAGGATCTGCAAGTGTATATTTGAAGCGCTTTGAGGCCTCTGGTGGAAAAGGAAACATCTTCACATAAAAATTAGACACAAGCATTCTGAGAAACTTCTTTCTCATGGGTTCATTCATTTCACAAAGTTGAACCTTTCCTTTGATTGAACAGTTTGAAAACCGTCGTTTTGTAGAATCTGCAGAGGGATATTTGTGAGCCCATTGAGACCTATGGGGCGATACGAAATATCTTCCCATAAAAACTAGACAGACACTTTCTGAGAAACTTCTTTGGGATGTGTGCTTTCATCTCACAGAGTTGAAACTTTCTTTTAATTGAGCAGTTTGGAAACAGTCTTTTTGTAGTATCTGCAATTGGATATTAGCAGCTCTTTGAGGCCTAAGGTGAAAAAGGAAATATCTTCCCATAAAAACTAGGCAGAAGCATTCTGAGAAACTTCTTTGTGATGTGTGCATTCATCTCACAGAGTTGAACCTTTCTTTTTATTGAGCAGTTTGGAAACAGGCTTTTTGTAGTATCTGCAAATGGTAATTAGAGCGCTTTGAGGCATATGTTGGAAAAGGAAATATCTTCACATTAAAGCTAGACTGAAGCATTCTGCGAAACTTCTTTGTGATGTGTGCATTCATTTCACAGAGTTGAACTTTTCTTTTGATTGAACAGTTTTGAAACACTCTTTTTGTACAATCTGCAAGTGGATATTTGGAGCGCTTTGAGGTCATTGGTGGAAAAGGACATATCTTCCAATGAAAACTAGACAGAAGTATTCTGAAAAACTTTTTGTGATGTGTGCATTCATCTCACAGAGTTGAACCTTTCTTTTCATTGAGCAGTTTGGAAACAGTATTTTTGTAGAATCTGCAAGTGGATATTTGGAGCACTTTGAGGCCTATGGTGGAAAAGGACATGTCTTCCCATAAAAACTAGACAGCAGCATTTTGAGAAACTTCTTTGTGATGTGTGGATTCATCTCACAGAGTTGAACTTTTCTTTTGATTGAGCAGTTTTGAAACACTCTTTTTGTACAATCTGCAAGTGGATATTTGGAGCGCTTTGAGGTCATTGGTGGAAAAGGACATATCTTCCAATAAAAACTAGACAGAAGTATTCTGAGAAACATTTTGTGATGTGTGCATTCATCTCACAGAGTTGAACCTTTCTTTTTATTGAGCAGTTTGGAAACTGTATTTTTGTAGAATCTGCAAGTGGATATTTGGAGCACTTTGAGGCCCATGGTGGAAAAGGACATATCTTCCCATAAAAACTAGACAGCAGCATTTTGAGAAACTTCTTTGTGATGTGTGGATTCATCTCACAGAGTTGAAGCTTTCTTTTGATTGAGTAGTATTGAAACACTCTTGTGGAATCTCCAATTAGATACTTGGAGCGCTTTGAGGCCTATGGTGGAAAAGGAAATATCTTCACATGAAAACTACACAGAAGCATTCTGAGAAATTTGTTTGTGATGTGTGCATTCAACACACAGAGTTGAATCTTTCTTTTGATTGAGCAGTTTTGAAACACACTTTTTTAGGATCTACAAGTGGATATTTGGAGCGCTTTGTGGCCTATTGTGGAAAAGGATATATCTTCACATAAAAAGTATGGAGAAGCATTCTGAGAAACTTCTTTGTGATGTGTGCATTCATCTCACAGAGTTCAACCTTTCTTTTGATTGAGCAGTTTTGAAACGCTCTTTTTGTAGAGTGTGCAAGCAGATATTTGGAGCTCTTTGAGGCTTATGGTGGAAAAGGAAATATCTTCACATAAAAACTACAGAGAAGCATTCTGACAAAGTTCTTTGTGCTGTGTGTGTTCAACTCACAGAGTTGAACCTTTCTTTCGATTGAGCAGTTTTGAAATGCCCTTTTTTTAGAATCTGCAAGTGGATATTTTGAGTGCTTTGTGGCCTCTGTTGGAAAAGGAAATATCTTCACATAAAGTAGACAGAAGCATTCTGAGAAACTTCCTTGTGATGTGTGCATTCATCTCACAGAGAGTAAACTTTCTTTTGATTGTGAAGTTTTCAAACACTCTTTTTGTAGGATCTGCAAGTGGATATTTTGAGGTCTTTGTGGCCTATAGGGGAAAAGGAAATATCTTCACATAAAAACTACAGAGAAGCATTCTGACAAAGTTCTTTGTGCTGTGTGTGTTCAACTTACAGAGTTGAACCTTTCTTTTGATTGAGCAGTTTTGAAATGCCCTTTTTTTGGAATCTGCAAGTGGATATTTTGAGTGCTTTGTGGTCTCTGTTGGAAAAGGAAATATCTTCACATAAAGTAGACAGAAGCATTCTGAGAAACTTCCTTGTGATGTGTGCATTCATCTCACAGAGTTGAAACTTTCTTTTGATTGTGAAGTTTTCAAACACTCTTTTTGTAGGATCTGCAAGTGGATATTTGGAGGCCTTTGTGGCCTATAGGGGAAAAGGAAATATCTTCATATAAAAATTAGACAGAAGCATTCTGAGAAACATCTTTGTGATATATGCATTCATCTCACAGCGTTGAAATTTTCTTTTTATTGACCACTTTTGAAACACTCTTTTTCTACTGTCGGCAAGTGGATATTTGTAGTGCTTTGAGGCATATGGTGGAAAATGAAATATTTTCACAATAAAATTAGACAGAAGCATTCTGTGATACTTCTTTGTGATCTGTGCCTTCATATCACAGAGTTGAACCTTTCTATTGATTGAGCAGTTTTGAAACACTCTTTTTGTAAAATCTGCCAATGGATATTTGGAGCACTTTGAGGCCTATAGTGGAAAAGGAAATATCTTCACATAAATAGTAGACAAGCATTCTGAGAAACTTCTTTGTGATGTGTGCATTCAACTCACAGAATGGAACCCTTATTTTGATAGAGCAGTTTTGAAAGACTCCTTTTGTATAACCTGCAATTGGATATTTCGAGCGCTATGTGGTCTTAAGTGGAAAAGGCAATATCTTCGCATAAAAACTAGACAGAAGCATTCTGAGAAATTTCTTTGTGATGTGTGCATTCATCTCACAGAGTTAAAGCTTTCTTTTGATTGAGCAGTTTTGAAACACTCTTTTTGTAGAATCTGCAAGTGGATATTTGGAGCACTTTGCAGTCTATAGTGGAAAAGGAAATATCTTCACATAAATATTTGTCAGAAGCATTCTGAGAAACTTCTTCTTCATGTGTGCATTCATCTCACAGAGTTCAACCTTTCTTTTGATTGAGCAGTTTTGAAACACTCTTTTTGTAGTATCTGCAAGGGATACTTGGAGCAGTTTGAGGTCTATGGAGTAAAAGGAAATATCTTCACCTAAAAACTAGACAGAAGCATTCTGAGAAACTTCTTTGTGGTGTGTGCATTCATATCACTGTCTTGATCCATTCTTTTGACTGAGCAGTTTTGAAACACTCTTTGTGTAGAATCTGCAAGTGGATATTTGGAGTGCTTTGAGGCCTATTGTGGAAAAGGAAATGTCTTCACATAAAAACCAGACAGAAGCATACTGAGAAAATTATTTATGATGTGTGCATTCATCTCACAGAGCTGCACCTTTCTTTTGATTGAGCAGTTTTGAAACACCCTTTTTATAGAGTGTGCAAGCTGATATTTGGAGCACTTTGATGCTTATGGTGGAAAAGCAAATATCTTCACATAAAAACTCCAGAGAAGCATTCTGACAAAGTTCTTTGTGCTGTGTGCATTCAACTCACAGAGTTGAACCTTTCTTTTGATTGAGCAGTTTTGACACACTCTTTTTGCAGAATCTGCAAGTGGATATTTTGAGCGCTTTGCGGCCTCTGTTGGAAAAGGTAATGTCTTCACATAAACTAGACAGAAGCATTCTGCGAAACTTCTTCGTGATGTGTGCATTCATCTCACAGAGTTGAACCTTTCTTTTGATTGAGCAGTTTTGAAACACTCTTTTTGCAGAATCTGCAAGTGGATATGTGGAGCACTTTGAGGCCATGATACAAAAGGAAATATCTTCACATAAGAACTAGACAGAATCATTCTAAGATACTTCTTTGTGATGTGCACATTCAACTCACAGAGTTGAACATTTCTTTTGATTGAGCAGTTTTGAAACACTCTTTTTGTAGAATCAGCAGTTGGATATTTAGAGCGCTTTGAGGCCTATGGTGGAAAAGGAAATATCTTCACATAAAAACTAGACAGAAGCATTCTGAGAAACTTTTTTGTGATGTGTGCATTCAACTCACCGAGTTGAACAGTCTTTTTATTGAGCAGTTAGGATACATTCTTTTCGTACCATCTTCAAATTTGTATTTGGACAGCTTTGAGGCCTATAGTGGAAAAGGAAATATCTGCACATAAAAATTAGACAGAAGCATTCGGAGAAACTTCTTTGTGATGTGTGCACTCATCTCACAGAGTTAAACCATTCTTTTGATTGAGCAGTTTTGAAACACTCTTTTTGTATAATCTGTAAGTGGATATTTGGATCACTTTGAGGCATATGGTGGAAAAGAATATATCTTCCCATAAAAACTAGCCAGAAGCATTCTGAGAAACTTCTTTGTGATGTGTGTATTCAGCTCACAGAGTTGAACCTTTATTTTGATTGAGCAGTTCTGAAACACACTTTTTGTAGGATCTGCAATTGGATATTTGGATCGCTTTGCGGCCTCTTGTGGAAAAGGAAATATCTTCACATAAAAACTACAGGGAATCATTTTGAGAAACTTCTTTGTGATGTGTGCTTTCAGCTCGCAGAGTTGAACCTTTCTTTTGGTTGAGCAGTTTTGAAACACTCTTTTTGTAGAATCTGCAAGTGGATATTTAGAGCGCTTTGACGCCTATGGTGGAAAAGGAAATATCTTCACATGAAAAGTAGACAGAAGCATTCTGAGAAACTTCTTTGTGTTGTGTGCATTCATCTCACAGAGTTGGACTTTCTTTTTGTTGAGCAGTTTGGAAACACTCTTTTTGTAGAGTCTGCCATTGGATATTTAGAGCGCTGTGAATCCTATGGTGGAAAAGGTCATATCTTCACATAAGAACTATAAAGCAGGTTTTCTAAAAACAACATTGTGTTGTGTGCATTCATCTCACAGAGGTAAGTGTTTCTTTTCTCCTATCAGTCTGGAAAGTCTGTTCTTGTACAATCTCAAAGGGGGTATTTTTGAGCACTTTGAGGCCTATTGTAACAAAGGAAATATCTTCACATTCAAAGTATAAAGAAAGTTTCTGAGATACTTCTTTGTGATATGTGCATTCATCTCACAGATTTGCGCGTCTCTTTTAATTCAGCCGTTTGGAAACAGTCTTTTTGAAGAATCTGCAAACGGATATTTGTGAGCACTTTGAGGCCTATGCAGGAAAAGAAGTATCTTCACAGAAAACTATAAAGAAGGTTTCTGAGAAACTGTTTTTTGATGTCTGCATTCATCTTGCAGAGGTAAACAATTCTTTTCTTTGATCAGTTGGGTATCTCTGTTCTTGTAGGATCTGCTAAGGGATATTTTTGAATGCCTAGACCCCTATGGTGAAAAAGATATTGTCTTCACATAAAAACTAGACAGAGGCCTACTGTGAAACTTCTTGGTGATGTGTGCATTCATCTCACAGAATTGAAACTTTCTTTTGATTAAGCAGTTTGGAAACGTCTTTTTGTGGAATCCGTAAAGGGAAATTTCTGATCACTTTGAGGCCTATGGTGAAAGAGAAAGTATCTTCACATAAAAACTAGACTAAAGATTTCTGAGAAACTGCTTTGTGATGTATGTATTCATCTCACAGAGTTCAACAATTCTTTTGATCGAGCAGTTGGGAAACCGTCTTTTTGTAGAATCTGCAAAGGGATATTTGTGAGCACTTAGAGGTCTATGGTTAAAAGGAAATATCTTCACATAAAAACTATAAAGAAGGTTTGTGAGAAACTTCTTTATGATGTGTGCATTCATCTCACAGAGTTGAACCACTCCTTTGACTCAGCGGTTTGGAAACAGTCTTTTTTAGCATCTGCAAAGGGATATTTTTGAGCACTTTGAGGCCCATGGTGAAAAAGGAAACACTTTCACATAAAAACAAGATAGAAGCTTTCTGAGAACCATCTTTTTGATATGTGCATTCATCCCACAGATGTGAACCTTTCTTTTGATGAGCATTTTGGAAGCAGTATTTGGTAGAATTTCCAAAGGGTTATTAGTTAGTGTTTTGTGTCCTATGTTGGAAAAGGAATTATTTTTAAATAAAAACTAGACAGAATATTTCTGAGAAACTGCCTTGTGATGTGTGATTTCATCTCACAGAGGTAACCATTTCTTTTCATTGAACAGATTGGAAATTCTGTTCTTGTAAAATCTGCAAAGGGATATTTGTTAGCACTTTGAGGCCTATGGTAAAAAAGGAATTATCTTCACATAAAAACTAGACGGAGGCTTTCTGTGAAACATCTTGGAGATGCGAGAATTTGTCTCACAGAGTTGAAACATTCTTTTGGTTGGGCAGTTTGTAAACAGTATTTTGGTAGAATCTGCAAAGGAATATTTGTGATGCTTTGAAGCCTATGGTGAAAACGAAATATTTTCACATGAAAACTAGAGAGAAGCTTTCTGAGAAACCTCCTTGTGATGTGTGCATTCATCTCACAGATTTGAAACTTTCTTTGGATTGAGCAATTTGGAAACAGTATTTTTGTAGAATCTGTAAAGGCATATTTTTGAGTGGTATGAGGCCTATGATGAAATAGGAAATATCTTCACATAAAAACTAGATAGAAGCTTTCCGAGAAACTTCTTTATGATGTGTGCATTCATCTCGTAGAGTTCAACCATTCTTTTGATTGAACAGTTTGGAAACACTCTTTTTGTAGAATCTGCAAAGGGATATTTATGAGTGCTTTGAGGCCTATGGTGAAAAAGGAAATGTATTCACATAAAAAGTATAAACAAGGTTTCTCAGAAACAGCTTTGTGATGTATGCATTCATCTCACAGAAGTAAACGTTTCTTTTCTCTGATCTGTCTGGAAACTGTTCTTGTAGATTCTGCAAAGGGATATTTGTGAGTATTTTGAGGCCTATGGTGAAAAAGGAAATATCTTCACATAAAAATTAGAGAGAGGTTTTCTGAGAAACCTCTTTGTGATGTGGGCATTCATCTCACAAAGTTGAAACTTACTTTTGATTGATCAGTATGGAAACCATCTTTTGTGGAATCTGCAAAGGGAAATTTATGAGAGCTTTGAGGCCAATGGTGAAAAAGGAAATATATTTATATAAAAGGCATAAAGAAGGTTTCTTAGAAACAGCTTTGTGGTGTGTGCATTGATCTCAGAGAGGTAAACGTTTATTTTCTTTGATCAGTCTGGAAACTCTGTTCTTGTAGTATCTGCAAAGGGATATTTGTGAGTGCTTTGAGGCCTATGATGAAAAAGGAGATATCTTCACATAAAAACTAGACAGAATCTTTCTTAGTGGCTTCTTTGTAATGTGTGCAATCATCTCACAGAATTGAACCATTCTTTTGATTCAGCAGTCTGGAAACAGTATTTTTGTAGAATCTGCAAGGGATATTTGTCACGACTTCGAGTGCTATGGTGAAAAAGGAAATATCTTCACATAAAAAATGGACAGAAGATTTCTGAGAAACCTCTTTGAGATGTGTGCATCCATCTCACAGAGTTCAACCATTTATTTGATTGAGCAGTTGGGAAGCAGTCTTTTTGCAGAATCTACAAAGGGATATTGCTGAGCAATTTGAGGCCTGTGTTGAAAAAGGAAATATCTTCACATAAAAACTATAAAGAAGGTTTCTGAGAAACTTCTTTGTAATGTATGCATTCATCTCATGGAGTTGAACTATTCTTTTGATTGAGCACTTTGGAAACAATCTTTTTGTAGAATCTGCAAAAGGATATTTTTGAGCGCTTTGAGTCCTAGGGAGAAAAAAGAAATATCATCACATAAAAAGTATAAAGAACGTTTCTGAGAAAAAGTTTTGTGATGTGTGCATTCATCTCACAGAGAAAAACGTTTATGTTGTTTGATCAGTCTGGAAATTCTGTTCTTGTAGAATCTGCTAAGGGATATTTTTGAGCAGATGGAGGCCTATGGTGAAAAAGGAAATGTCTTCATATAAAAATTAGACAGAAGCCTCCTGCGAAACTTCTTAGTGATGTGTGCATTCATCTCACAGAGTAGAAACTTTCTTTTCATTGAGCCATTTGGAAACAGTCTTTTTGTAGACTCTGCAAATGGATATTTGGAGCACTTTGAGGCCTATGGTGAAAAAGGAAATATATTCACATAAAAACCAGACTGAAAGTTTCTGAGAAACTTCTCTGAGATGTGTCCATTCATCTCACAAAGTTCAATAATTCTTTTTATTGAGCGGTTTGGAACAATCTTTTTGTGGAATCTGCAAAGAGATATTTGTGAGGGCTTTGAGACCTATGGTGAAAAAGGAAATATCTTCACGGAAAAACTATAAAGAAGGTTTCTGAGAAACTTCTTTGTGATGTGTGCATTCATCTCACACAGTTCAACCTTTCTTTTGATTGAGCAGTTTGGAAACAGTCTTTTTAAATATTCCTCCAGTGGATACTTGTGAGCACCTTGAGGCTCCTGGGGAAAAAGGAAACATTCACTTAAAAACTTAATAGAAGCTTTCTGAGAAACTACTTTTTGACGTGTGCATTCATCTCACAGAGTTGAACCTTTCTTTTGATGAGCAGTGTGGAAACAATCTTTTTGTAGAATCTGCAAAAGGACATTTTTGAGTGCTTTGCATCCTGTGGTGGAAAAGGAGATACCTTCACATAAAAACTAGACAGAATGTTTCTCAGAAACTGCTTTGTGATATGTGCATTCATCTCCCAGATGTGTCTGTTTCTTTGCATTGAGAAGATTGGAAACTCTTTTCTTGTAAGATCTGCAAAGGGATATTTGTGAGCCCTTTGAGGTGTATGGTGAAAAAGGAAATATCTTCACATAAAAACTACACAGAAGCTTTCTGAGAAACATCCTCGTGATGTGAGCATTCACCTCACAGAGTTGAAACATTCTTTTGATTGAGCCATGTGTAAAGAGTCTTTTTGTAGAATCTGCAAAGGGATATTTGTGAATGCTTTGAGGCCTATGGTGAAAAAGGAAATATCTTCACATAAAAACTAGAGAGAAGCTTTCTGAGAAACCTCTTTGTGGTGTGCATACAACTCACAGAGTTGAACCTTTCTTTTGATTGAGCAATTTGGAAGAAGTATTTTTGTAGAATCTGTAAAGGGATATTTGTGAGCACTTTGAGGCCTATGGTGAAAAACTAGACAGAGGCATTCTAAGAAACTTCTTCATGATGTGTGCATTCATCACACAGAGTTGAACCTTTGTTTTGATTGAGCCGTTTGGAAACAGTCTTTTTGTAGACTCTGCAAACGGATATTTGGAGCACTTTGAGGCCTATCGTGAAAAAGGAAATATATTCACATAAAAACTAGACTGAAGGATTCTGAGAAACTTCTTTGAGCTGTGTGCATTCATCTGACAGTGTTCAATAATTCTTTTTATTGAGCAGTTTGGAAACAGTCTTTTTGTAGAATCTGCAAAGGGATATTTGTGAGGGCTTTGAGGTCTGTGTTGAAAAAGGAAATATCTTCAGGGAAAAACCATAAAGAAAGTTTCTGAGAAACTTCTTTGGATGTGTGCATTCATCACACTGAGTTGAAACATTCTTTGGATTGAACAGTTTGCAAACAGTCTTTTTGTAGAATCTGCAGAGGGATATTTGTAGCGCTTTGAGGCCTATGGTGAATAAGGAAATATATTCACATAAAAACTAGACAAAAGTTTTCTGAGAAACTTTTTTTGATGTGTGCATTTATCTCATAGAGTTTAACATTTGTTTTGATTGAGCAGTCTGGAAACAGCTTTTTGTACAATCTGCAAAGGGATATTTAGGAGTAAGTTGAGGCCTATGGTGGAAAAGGAAATATCTAACATAAAAACTAGAAAGAAGCATTCTGAGAAGCTCCTTTAAGATATGTGTACTCATCTCACAGAGGTAAACATTTCTTTTCATTGAGCAGTTTGTAAACTCTGTTATTCTAGAGTCTGCAAAGGGGTATTTTTGAGAGCTTTGAGACCCATGTTGAAAAAGGAACTATCTTCACATAAAAACTAGTGAGAAGCTTGCTGAGAAACTACTTTCTGATGTGTGCATTCATCTAACAGAGTTGAAACTTTCTTTTGATTGAGCAGTTTGGAAACAGTCTTTTTGTAGATTCTGCAAAGGTATATTTGGGAGTGCATTGAGGCCTATGTTCAAAAAGGAAACATCTTCACATAAAACTGAGAAGGAGGTTTTCTGAGAAACTTCTTTGTGATGTGCACATTCGTCTCACAGGGTTGAACCATTCTGTTTATTGAGCAGTTTGGAAACAATCTTTTTGTAGAATCTGCAAAGGGATATCTGTGAGTTCATTGAGGCTTATGGTGAAAAAGGAAATATATTCACATTAAAAGTAGAAAGAAGTTTTCTGAGTAACTCATTTGTGACATGTGCATTTATCACAGAGAAGTAAAAATTTCTTCCCATTGAGCAGTTAGTTTTTGTGAAGATATTTCCGTTTTCACCATAGACCTCAAACGGCCTACATATATCCCTTTGCAGATTCTACAAAAAGACTATTTCCAAACTGCTCTATCAAAGAAAGCTTCCACTCTGTGAGATGAATGCACACATCACAGAGAAGTTTCTCAAAAAGTTTCTGTCTAGTTTTATTTGTTGATACTCCCTTTTCACCATAGGCCTCAAATCGCTCATGAATAACTCTTTGCAGATTCTACAAGAAGACTGTTTCCAAACTACTCAATCAAAAGAAAGCTTCAACTCTGTGAGGTGAATGCACACATCACAAAGAAGTTTCTCAGAAAGCTTCTGTCTAGTTTTTATATGAAGATGTTTCCTTTTTCAATATAGGCCTCAAAGTGCTCACAAATGTCCCTTTACAGATTTTACAAAAAGACTGTTACCAAACTGCTCAACTGAAACAAAGCTTCAACTCTTTGAGATGAATGCACACATCACAAAGAAGTTTCTCAGAAAGCTTCCGTCCAGTTTTTATGTGAAGATATTTCCTTTTTCACCATAAGTCTCAAAGCATTCAAATTATCACTTTGCAGATTCTACAAAAAGACATTTTCCAACCTGCTCTATCTAAAGAAAGGTTTAACTCTGTGAGAAGAATGCACACATCAAAAATAAGTTTCTCAGAATGCTTCTGTCTAGTTTTTATCTGAAGACATTTCCTTTTTCACCATAGACCAAAAAGGGATCCCAAATATCCCTTTGTACATTCTACAAAGGACTGTTTCCAAACTGCTCAATCCAAAGACAGGTTCAACTTTTGGGATGAATGCACACATCACAACGAAGTTTCTCAGAAAGCTTCTGTCTAGTTTTTGTGTGAAGATATTACTTTTTTCACCATAGGCTTCAAAGGGCTCACAAATATCACAAAGCAGATTCTACAAAAAGACTCTATCCAAACTGGTCAAGGAAAAGAACACTTCAAATCTGTGAGATGAATGTGCACATCTCAAATAATTTTCTCAGAAAGCTTCTGTCTAGTTTTTATGTGAAGATATTTCCGTTTTCACCATAGACCTGAAACCGCCTATATATAACCCTTTTCAGATTCTACAAAAAGACTGTTTCCAAACGGCTCAATCAAAGAAAGTTTCTACTCTGTGAGATGAATGCACACATCACAGGGAAGTTTTTCAGAACGTTTCTGTCTAGTTTTTATTTGTCGATACTCCCTTTTTCACCATAGGCCTTAAACTGCTCATAAATAACCCTTTGCAGGTTCTACAAAAGGACTATTTCCAAACTGCTCAATCAAATGAAATTTCAGCTGTGTGAGATGAATGCACACATCAAAAAGAAGTTTCTCAGAACGTTTCTGTCTAGTTTTTATGTGAAGATACTTCTTTTTCACCATAAACCTCAAAGCGTTCCCAAATTTTCCTTTGCAGATTCTATGAAAAGACTGTTTCCAAACTGCTCAATCAAAAGAAAGGTTCAACTTTTTGTGATGAATGCAGACATCACAACGAACTTTCTCAGAAGGCTTCTGTCTAGATTTTATTTGTGGATATTTCCTTTTTCACAATAGGCCTCAGAAAGCTCACAAATATCACTTTGCATATTCTACAAAAAGACTGTTTCCAATCTGCTCAATGAAAGAAAATTCAACTCTGTGAGATGAATGCATGCATCACAAAGTGGTTTCTCAGAATGTTTCTGTCTAGTTTTTATATGAAGATATTTCCTTTTTCATCACATGCCTCAAACCATTCAAAAACATCCCTTTTCAGATTCTCCAAAAAGACTTTTTACAAACTGCTCAATCAAAAGAAAGATTCAAGTCTTTGAGATGCATACACCCATTACAAAGAAGTTTCCCAGAAAACATGAGTCTAGTTTTTATGTGAAGATATTTCCTTTTTCACCATAAGCCTCAAAGCATTCACAAATATCACTTTGCATTTTCTATGAAAAGACTGTTTCCAAACTGGTCAATCAAAAGAAGTTTCAACCCTGTGAGATGAATGCACACATCACAAAGAAGTTCTTCAGAAAGCTACTGTCTACATTTTATTTTTTGATATTTCCTTTTTCACCATTGGATTCAAACCACTGAAACATATCACTTTGCAGATTCTACAAAAAGACTGTTTCCAAACTGCCCAATCAAAAGAAAGGCTCAACTCTGTGAGATGAATGCACACATCACAAGGAAGTTTCTCAGATAGCTCTTATTATTTTGAGATACGTCCCATCAATACCTAATTTATTGAGAGTTTTTAACATGAGGGGCTGTTGAATTTTGTAAAGGCCTTTTCTGCATCTATTGGGATAATCATGTGGTTTTTGTCTTTGGTTCTGTTTATATGCTGGATTACATTTATTGATTTGCATATATTGAACCAGCTTTGCATTCCAGGGATGAAGCCCACTTGATCATCGTGGATAAGCTTCTTGATGTGCTGCTGGATTCGGTTTGCCAGTATTTTATTGAGGATTTTTGCATCAGTGTTCATCAAGGATATTGGTCTAAAATTCTCTTTTTTGGTTGTGTCTCTGCCCGGCTTTGTTATCAGGATGGTGCTGGCTTCATAAAATGAGTTAGGGAGGATTCCCTCTTTTTCTATTGATTGGAATAGTTTCAGAAGGAATGGTACCAGTTCCTCCTTGTAACTCTGGTAGAATTCGGCTGTGAATCCATCTGATCCTGGACTCTTTTTGGTTGGTAAGCTATTGATTATGGCCACAACTTCAGAGCCTGTTATTGGTCTATTTAGAAATCCAACTTCTTCCTGGTTTAGTCTTGAGAGGGTGTATATGTCAAAGAATTTATCCATTTCTTCTAGATTTTCTAGTTGATTTGCATAGAGGGGTTTGTAGCATTCTCTGATGGTAGTTTGAATTTCTGTGGGGACGGTGGTCATATCCTCCTTATCATTTTTTATTGCATCTATTTGGTTCTTCTCTTTTTTCTTCTTTATTAGTCTTGCTAGCGGTCTATCAATTTTATTGATCCTTTCAAAAAACCAGCTCCTGGATTCATTAATTTTTTGAAGGGTTTTTTTGTGTCTCTATTTCTTTCAGTTCTGCTCTGATTTTAGTTATTTCTTGCCTTCTGCTAGCTTTTGAATGTGTTTGCTCTTGCTTTTCTAGTTCTTTTAATTGTGATGTTAGGATGTCAATTTTAGATCTTTTCTGCTTTCTCTTGTGGGCATTTAGTGCTAAAAATTTCCCTCTAAACACTGCTTTGAATGTGTCCCAGAGATTCTGGTATGTTGTGTCTTTGTTCTCATTGGTTTCATGCTGCTATAAAGACACATGCACGTGTATGTTTATTGCAGCACTATTCACAATAGCAAAGACTTGGAACCAACCCAAATGTCCAACAATGATAGACTGGATTAAGAAAATGTGGCACATATACACATGGAATACTATGGAGCAATAAAAAATGATGAGTTAATGTCCTTTGTAGGGACATGAATGAAATTGGAAATCATCATTCTCAGTAAACTATCACAAGGACAAAAAACCAAACACCATGTGTTCTCACTCATAGGTGAGATTTGAACAATGAGAACACATGGACACAGGAAGGGGAACATCACACTCTGGGGACTGTTGTGGGGTGGGGGGAGGGGGGAGGGTTAGCATTAGGAGATATACCTAATGCTAAATGATGAGTTAATGGGTGCAGGACACCAGCGTGGCACATGTATACATATGTAACTAACCTGCACATTGTGCACATGTACCCTAAAACTTAAAGTATAATAATAATAAAATAAAATAAAATAAAATAAAGTGCACATCACAAAGAAGTTTCTCAGAAAGTTTCTTTTTAGTTTTTATGTGAAGATATTTCCTTTTTCACCATAGTCCACAAAGTGCACCAAATATCTTTTGCAGATGATTGTACAAAAAGAGTTTCTCCAAACTGCTCAATCAAAGGAAAGTTTCATCTCTGTGAGATGAAAGCACAAATCACAAAGAAGTTACTCAGAATGCTTCTGTCTAGTTTTTAAATGAAGGTATTTCCTGTTACACCATAGGCCTCAAAGGGCTCACAGATATCCTTTTGCAGATTCTACAAAAAGACTGTTACAGAATTGCTCAATGAAAAGTAAGTTTCAACTCTGTGAGATGAATTCACACCTAAAAAAAGAAGTTTCTCAGAATGCTTCTGTCTAGTTTTTATGTGAAGATATTTCTTTGTCACCATAGGCCTCAAACCGCTCAGAAATATCCCTATGCAGATGTTACAAAAAGACTGTTTCCAAACTGCTCAATGAAAAGAAAGATTCTACTCTGTGAGATGAAAGCACATATCACAAAGAATTTTCTCAGAAAGTTTTTGTCTAGCTTATATGTGAAGACATTTCCTCTTTCACCATAGGCCTCAATGGGCTCAAAAACGTCTCTTTTCAGATACTACAAAAGGCCTCTTTCCAAACTGCTCAATCAAAAGAAAGTTTCAACTCTGTGAGATGAAAGCACACATCACAAATAAGTTTCTCAGAATGTTTGTCTAGTTTTATGTGAAGATATTTCCTGTTTCACCGTAGGCCATAAAGGACTCACAAATATCCCTTTGCAGACTCTACAAAAAGACAGTTTGCAAACAGCTCAATCAAAAACAAAGGTTCAACTATGTGAGACGAATGGACACATCACAAAGAAGTTTCTCAGAATGCTTCTGCCTAGTTTTTATGTGAAGATATGTCTTTTTCACCATAGGCCTCAAATGGCTAAGAAATATCCCTTTGCAGATTGTACAAAAAGACTGTTTCCAAATTGCTCAATGAAAAGACAGGTTCAACTCTATGAGATAAATGCACACATGAAAAAGAAGTTTCTCAGAATGCTTCTGTCTAGTTTTTATCTGACATAGTTATTTTTCACCATAGGCCTCAAATGGTTCAGAAATATCCCTTTGCATATTGTACTAAAAGACTGTTTCCAAACTGTCAAATGCAAAGAAAGGTTCAACTCTGTGAGATGAATGCAAACATCACAAAGAAGTTTCTCAGAAAGTTTCTGTCTAGTTTTTATGTGAAGATAATTCCTTCTTCACAATAGGCCTCAAAGTGCTCCAAATATCCATTTTCAGATTACACAAAAAGACTGTTTCCAAACGGCTCAATCACAAAAAAAGTTCAACTCTGTGAGATGAATGCACACATCATAAAGAAGTTTCTCAGAATGCTTCTGTCTAGTTTTGATGTGAAGATATTTCCTTTTTCACCATAGGCCTTAAACGACTCCCAAATATCCCTCTGCAGATACTACAAAAAGGCTGCTTGAAAACTGTTCAATCAAAGGAATCCTTCATCTCTGTGAGATGAAACCACACATCACAAAGAAGTTCCTCATAATGCTTCTGTCTGGTTTTTATGTGAAGATATTTCATATTTCACCATAGGCCTCAAAGAGCTCACAAATATCCCTTTGCAGACTCTACAAAAAGACTGTTTCAAACTGCTCCATGCAAAGAAAGGTTCAACTCTGTGAGACGAATGCACACATAAAAAAGAAGTTTCTCACAATTCTTCTGTTTAGTTTTTATGTGAAGATATTCCTTTTTCACTATAGGCACCAAACCGTTCAGAAATATCCCTTTGTAGACTACAAAAAGACTGTTTCCAAACTGCTCAATCAAAAGAAAGTTTCAAACCTGTTAGATGAAAGCACACATCACAAAGAAGTTTCTCAGAATACTTCTGTCTAGTTTTTATGTGAAGATATTTCTTTTTCACCGTAGGCCTCAAACCCCTCAGAAATATCCCTTTGCAGATTGTAGATAAAGACTGCTTCCTAACTGCTCAATCAAAAGAACAGTTCAACTCTGTGAGATGAAAGCACACGTCACAAAGAAGTTTCTCAGAAATCTTCTGTCTAGTTTTTATGTGAAGATATTTCCCTTCTAATGATAGGCCTCAAAGCAATCCAATTATCAATTTGCAGATTCTACAAAATACTGTTTCCAAACTGCTCAATCAAAAGAAATTTTCAACTCTGTGAGATGAAAGCATACATCACAAAGAAGTTCTTCAGAAAGTTTCTCACTAGATTTTATGTGAAGATATTTAGTTTTTCACCACAAGCCACAAAGTGCTCCAAATATCCTTTTGCAGATACTTCAAAAAGAGTTTTTCCAAACTGCTCAATCAAAACAAAGTTTCAACTCTGTGAGAGGAATGCAAACATCACAAAGAAGTTTCTCAGAATGCTTCTGTCTAGTTTTCCTTTGAAGATATTTCCCATTTCACCATGGGCCTCAGTGGGCTCACATATATCCTCTTCCAAATTCTACAAAAAGACTGTTTCTGAATTTCTCAATGAAGAGAAAGGTTCAACTCTGGGAGATGAATGCACACATGAATAAGAAGTTTCTCAGAATGCCTCTGTCTAGTTTTTGTGTTAAGATATTTGTTTTTCACTGTAGGCCTCAAACTTCTCAGAAATATCCCTTTGAAGATTGTACAAAAAGATGGTTTCCAAACTGCTCAATGAAAACAAAGGTTCAACACTGTGACATGAATACTCACATCACAGAGAAGTTTTTCAGAAAGCTTCTGTTTAGTCTTTAAGTGAAAATATTTCCTTTTTCACCATAGGCCTCAAAGCAATCCAAATATCCTTTTGCAAACTCTACAAAAAGAGAGTTTCCAAACTGTTCAATTAAAAAAAAGATTCAAATCTGTGAGAAGAAAGCACACAACATGAAGAAGTTTCCCATAATGCTTCTGTCTACTTTTTTTGTGAAGATATTTCCTATATCACCATAGGCCTCAAAGATCTCACAAATATCCCTTTGCAGACTCTACAAAAAGACAGTTTTCGGACTGCTAAATGAAAAGAAAAGTTCAATTCTGTGAGACGAATGCACACATATTAATTAGTTTATCATAATGCTTCTGTCTAGTTTTTATGTGAAGATATTTCTTTTTCACCATAGGCATCAAACCGTTCAGAATTATCCCTTTGTAGATTGTACAAAAAGACTGTTTCCAAACTGCTCAATCAAAAGAAAGGTTCAAACCGGTGAGATGAATGCACACATAAAAGAGGAGTTTCTCAGAAATCTTCTGTCTTGTTTTTATGTGAAGATATTACCTTTCTCAACATAGGCCTCAAAGCAATCCAAATATCCATTTGCAGATTCTATAAAAAGACTGTTTCCAAACTGATCAATCAAAACAAATTTTTACCTCTCTGAGATGAAAGCACACATCACAAAAATGTTACTCAGACAGCTTCTCTCTAGTATGTATGTGAAGATACTTCCTATTTCACCTGAGGCCATAAAGGGCTCACAATTATCCCTTTGAAGGTTTTACAAAAAGACTGTGTCCAAACTGCTCAATCAAAAGAAAGGTTCAACTCTGTGAGATGAATGGGCACATCACAAAGAAATTTCTTGGAATGATTCTGTCTAGTTTTTATGTGAAGATATTTCTCTTTCACCATAGGCCTCAAACGGATCAGAATTATCCATTTGCAGATTGTACAATAAGCCTCTTTCCAACCTGCTCAATCAAAAGAAAGGTTCAACTCTGTGAGATGAATGCACACATCACAAGGAAGTTTCTCAGAAAACTTCTGTTTAGTTTTTATGTGAAGATATTTCGTTTTTCACCATGGGCCTCAAAAGCTCTCCAAATATCCATTTGTAGATTTTAGAAAAAGAGTGTTTCCAAACTCCTCAATCAAAAGACAGTTTCAACTATGTGAGATGAATGCACACATCACAAAGAAGTTTCTCAGAGTGCTTCTGTCTAGTTTATATGTGAAGAAAATTCCTATTTCACCATAGGCAATAAAGGGCTCACAAATATTTTTTGCAGATTCTACAAAAATACTGTATCCAAAGTGCTAAATAAAAAGAAAGTTTCAACTCTGTTAGATTAATGGACACATCAAAAAGTAGTTTCTCAGAAAACTTCTGTTTAGTTTTTACGTGAAGATATTTCCTTTGTCACCATTGGCCTCAAAGTGCTCTGAATATCCATTTACAGATTTCACTAAAAGAGTGTTTCCAAACTGCTGAATCAAAAGAAAGTTTTAACTCTGTGAGATGAAAGCACACATCTCAAAGAAGTTTCTCAGAAAGCTTTGGTCTAGTTTTCATGTGAAGATATTTCCAGTTTCACCACAGGCCTCAAAGTGCTAAGAAATATACCTTTCCAGATTCTAAAAGACGACCATTTCCATACTGCTCAGTCAAAATAAAGGTTAAATTCTGTGAGGTGAATGCACACATCAGAATGAAGTTTCTCAGAATTCTCCTGTCTAGTTTTTATGTGAAGATATTTACTATTTCACTATAGGCTTCAAATGTCTCAAAAATATCCCTTTGCAGATTCTACAAAAATATGGTTTCCAAAGTGCTGAATTAAAAGAAACCTTCAACTCTGTCAGATGAATGGAGACATCACAAAGAAGTTCCTCAGAATTCTTCTGTCTATTTTAAATGTGAAGATATTTCTTTTTTCACCATAGACCTCAAATGGCTCAGAAATATGCCTTTGCAGATTGCAGAAAAAGACTGTTTCTAAACTGCTCAAACAAAATAAAGTTTCAACACTGTTAGATGAATGCGCACATCACAAAGAAGTTTCTCAGAAAGCTACTGTCTCGTTTTTATGTGAAGATATTTCCTTTTTCACCATAGGCCTTAAACCGCTCACAAATATCCTTCTGCAGATACTATAAAAAGACTGTTTCCAAACTGCTCCATCAAAAGAAAAGTTCACCTCTCTGAGGTGAATGCATACATCACAAAAATTTTCTCAGAATTC